>NC_000004.12:116800168-116951684 GCF_000001405.40 Homo sapiens | reverse complement strand
AAAATGTAGAAAGCAAAAATTAAAGAAAATTCGACTTAGCATTTTCCATACATATGGAATCATATGTATGGCTTCCACATGGTATGTGCTTCTCATATATTACTTTCTTGCTGCTTTCAATTGACATCTTCATACAAATAAATACTTATTGATATAACATACTATACAAACATAACAATTCGTAAGAACTAATTACTAAAATCTATGTGCAATTATATAAAATGTTATTATATAACAAGCATAAGAGCATATTTCTTACTATATATATATATATATATATATATATAAAATCTAAGAATTATCTGAGATAAATTCTATAAAACTTGCTAATATGTTACACCTTACTCTAATAATCACACATACACTCAAGGTTATACTAATTTACCTAGCAGAACCCACCAAAAGAAAAATAAACAAATCTAAGTATGATAGTCAGAATTAAGGTTCCCAAAGATGTTCACATGTCAATCTGTAGAATCTGCAGAAATGCTATTCTACATGGTGAAAGGTACTTTGAATATTTGATTAAATTAAGGATCACAAGATTAGGAGATTATCTTTGATTAGGAATCAACCTAATGAAATAGGTCCTTAAAAGTGAAGAACCTTTCAAAAATATTTTCAGAGACAGAGACAAATCTGGGCCAGAGAGCTTCCCCTAGGCAGTATCTTCACCTCATGAATGTATTGATTGTACCTAACTGCTGCTGTTTCCAAAAATTGGAATTCCAAAGTCCTTCATCTCAGCACTATTGTAAAATCAATATTAAACCATTGGTTTTTTAAAAAGATCTAATTTTTGTGTGTTCCAATCTAATATATTTAAGTTTATACACAAATGTTTTATTACCATCTTTTGTTGTATATAGTAATACTTTCAGCCATTCTCATACAATAGTGTCTCATATTCTTTCTCTTCTTTCTCATGTATTATCAGGGCTCCTATCATTTGCAAAATTTGTTTCATTAGGTTTTACTGATGTTGTGTACTTTGTGCTATTTTTTAACCATTTGCCTCAAGTCAGTTACATAGCAGCCAAACAACAGTATAAATTTCCAGGTAGAGACTCATAGCTGCATAAAATAGAGCTGTTTGAGATTATTTTAAAGTAAGTAGAAATTTTAATTGTACTTCTTTCTAATTACAGTAAGAAAACATCACTTAGACACATATCTTCCCTTCATCTTCATAATCACAGGGTAAAATCCAGCAGCCGGTCATATCTTTCTGATTGTTCTCAGCTCACTGGCCTAGAATAGGGAGAGGTGGGGCCTGTGGAAAAATTCTGTAACCTTCACAGGAAAAGTACAGGAACAACAGTAGTTTCACCTGAAAACTTGTAAACCCAACTGATTTAGCAAGTTTTACATGACCCCGGATTAAAATAAGATAAAGCAGGAGAAAAGAATACACTGTCTATTTTCATTGTTTCTCTATCAACCACACGATGAACAGAAATTGTAAAAGTTGATCATCTGCAAAGTTGTTCCCTTTCACTGAAGTATGAGCCCAGCTCTACAGGATATTGTGTTCTGAGCCACTGGTTCCAAAATGTTTGAAATTAAAGGAGATGTAGTAAAAGGCACAAGCCTTCGCATATGGGCACAACCTGTGAGTTTTGACAGCTTTGCCCTTGCCAAGAGCCACCCTCAAGTGGCTGGCAATGCTTAAGTAAGCGCAGTCTAAGAACATCTGTAACTTCCATCTTAATGCTGCCTATGACAGAGTCAAACAAAGTTGCATTTATAAGAACCATGTCGAAAAACAAGAGAGCTGGCTTTTAAAATTCAAAGCATGGACAAGTCCAAAGTTGAATTAAAATAACACTAGCTCGAATTAGTTGTTTCATTTTCTTTTCCATTCATAATGACAGAATCATGTGGATTCATAGCCATGTGGAATGCATACCTCAGAACAATTTTGTCAACATTTAGAATTCATTCTGTCATTTAATAAAAATTTGTAAAGTGTGTCATGAAATAAAGCATACTGTTTTATGTTGTAGGACGCTATGCTGGTGAAGTTCTCTGTGGAATGGAAGACTGAACTAGCTAGTGAGTTTATAGATTAATCATTATTATTTCCGTAAAACATAATCTGAGTATGGCTAAGGTAAAACTATAGTGACAGCAGTATTAGTAGTATCAGTAATGGTAATAATAACAGTAACAACTCTGATTGCTATCATTCAATAAGCAACCATCATAATCCAAGCATTGGGATACTATACATATGTGTGTGTGTGTGTGTGTGTGTGTGCGTGCACAACACATGTATGTGTCTCCAGCTCTTAAAGCTTTGAGTACAATCAATGTCACTTCACAGTAGTACCCCAAATCCCATATTGCCAAGATTATCATCCAGACCAGTTTCTCATGGTTTTATCCTCTAATATGGTACAGGATATCGCCTGACATTTCATCAGGTATGCACGTAAGTCCTTTTTATCCTCTTACCTCCCCAAGGAAACAGGAACTCACAAAATCCCAGAATGTTTATCACTCAGATATTGGAGGACACAGAACCAACTGATGGATAGTACACTTTTACCTCCCACAAAAAAGAGGCAGGAATTAGCAAGTTTGCGAACATTTTGGCAGGAACTCACAGGTGTCTCAAGGAGGGGATTGTGCCAAGGTAGGCCTTAAAATACGGCAGCCCTGTGGGTAAATAACACTCGGTTTCATTGACATGGTTTGGATTTCTGTCCCCACCCAAATCTCATGTTGAGTTGTAATCCCCAGGGTTGGAGGTGGGGCCTGATGGGAGGTGATTGGACCAAAAGGGGAGAGTTCTCCTGAATGGTTTATCATCATCCATTCTGTGCTGTTCTTATGATAGTGAGTGAGTGAGTTATCACATGATCTGGTGGTTTTAAAGTATGTAGCAGTTCTCCTCCTCCTGCTCTAGCCATGTGAAGATGCTGCTCCCACTTTGCCTTCTGCCATGATTGTAAGTTTCCTGAGGCTTCCCCAGATGTAGAAGCCACTATGCTTCCTGTACAGCCTGCAGAATTATGAGTCAATTAAATTTATTTTCTTTATGAGTTACCCAGTCTCAAGTATTTCTGTATAGCAGTGTGAGAATGAACTAATACACTTGTCCAGCTACATGCTGTGACAATCCCTCAGAGATGAGCTTCAATGGGATAATTCTTTTCTTTATTGATCCTGGTGCCTGATTAATACAAAGGTCAGAATCTCAGGGTTAACTCTGTTGTCTCCACATCCTCTGGTCTCCAAATATGGTTGTCATCACTAAATCCTGGGCACATATCCTAGCTGTAAGGGGAGGGAGATGGAGGGGATATTAATTAAGTGTCTTGTATATACAGTAAGAGAAAACAAAAGAGATCTTCAGATGAGTTTAATGCTAAGTCTCATAAATCAACTGTGTCTCTGGTATGTCAAGTGTACTACAATGCAATTTCTTTATTTTGGAAACTAAAAAATATGCTATGTTAAAAATTTTATTTAGTCAATTTAAAATAGTATACATAATAACAATCAAAATCTGATACCGAAGAAATAGGTATCAAATAGGCATGATAACAAACTGAAACAAAATATATACTGATTTCTAATATGAATCATACATTATTAATAACCCAGTACTTTCAGATGTTCTTGGAAATTTCGTAGCATGTATCTTTCAAATAATTTTCAGTCAGTCATTGTGATATCAGGCCTGGACAGGCTAAAGAGAGGCAGAGTCGATTGTCACTTGGTACTTACACTTTGAAAAGTGTCACAAAAAGCATATCAACTTTAGCCCCATCTAGAAATATCTTGCTCATTAAGCCACACTCTATTGTTGCCAGAGCCAGAAATTTAACTCAGATTGAGTAGGAAGTTTGTCACAGTAATTGGGAAATCCAGGGTTGCACTGGGGATAGCAATGTAACAATATCCAGCTTCAGAAAAAGGTCACTGGATTTCTCTTTCTCTCTCTCATTCTCACAAATGTGCACATACCCACATACCTTAATGCCTTAGAAATGTTTCTGCTGTACTCTTCTTTTTTCTATTATCCTGCGGACAAGCTTCCTTGACACAGCCAGGAAAGGTGGTTCAGGCAGTTTCAGAATCACATCCTTCCAAGGTTATAAATCACTTTGAAAAAAATAATCTTTTAAATGTCTGTTCTAATTTCTTACAAGATGCTGAATTTAAACAGGCTCCCTCCCACATGGTCAGCCACTGAAGAAATTCTAGAGAACAAATTTTAAAAAGCTGTAAGGCTACCCTAAGTTAAAATGGCTCTTTGAATTTTTGCATGTTTGACTATGTGGGTTACTACAGTCTGCAGCAGCGTGTTTCTTAAAACAATAATAATAAGGCAGTTGGAAAGCTGCTCTTAGTTTTCTTGGTTTTTGCCTTAGGATAGGCAGTACCTGACCGTACTAGGGTTTGGTGCCAACACTCAGGCTGCTGTATAGGGCATTTAGGAGAGAATATAATGAGAAAAGCAGAGAAACCTTGGTTCAAAGAGGTTTAAGGTAGACCTTTTTCAGACAGACCTCCTCCTATCCTTACTCTCCACCCATAAAAGAGGATGGATGATTTTAATAAAAGGTGGCCTTCTTTTCAGTGTTGTTTCTCCCTAACTATTCTAGATATTTTGGGTTTTTTTGTAAAATTTGTAATTAACTTATCAATTTCTACAAAAAGCCTAACTAGGATTTTGATTGGAATTACATTAATTTTATAGATCAATTTAAAAGGAATAGCAATGGACAATAGTGGGTTCTCAGACCCTTCAATAAGGTATATCTCTTTCTTTAGGTTTTTAGTTTTTCTCAGAAATGTTTTATAGTTTTTAGTGTACAGTTCTTGGGCAATTTGTCAGATTTTGTTTTATCTTAGTCTGTTTGCGTTGCTATAAAAGAACAGCTCATGCTGGATAATTCATAAAAGAAATTTATTTGGCTTATGATCCTGATGCCTGGAAAGTTTGAGTTTGGGCCTGTGCATCTGGCAAGGACCTCAGGCTGCTTCTACTTATAATGAAAGGTGAATGGGACTCAGCATGTGCAGAGATCTCATGGTGACAGTGAAAGCAAGAGAGAGAGAGTGAGAGGGGGAGGTACCAGGCTATTTTTAATAACTAGCTCTCACAGGAAGTAACAGAATGGGAACTCACTTACATCTGAGGGGAAACATTAATCTGTTCATAAGGATCCATCCCCATGACCCAAACACCTCCCACGAAGACCCGCCTCCAACACTGGGGATTAAATTTTGACATGAGGTTTGGAGGGGACAAATGTCTAAACCAGAGTAGTATTTCCCATTTTATAGTTGTTTTAGATGGGACTACATTTTATGTTTTAAATTTTTGATCATTTGTGTCTACTATACATAAATTCAAAGGAATTTTACATATTGATCTTGTATCCTGCAAACTGTTAACACTCACTTGCTAGTTGTACTAAGTTTCTGTAGATTCCAACAAGTTTTCTATGTAATCATGGTCTACAAATAAAGACATATGTGATTTTATTTTTCTTTTCAATTTGAAGGACTTTTAATTCTTCTTCTTGCCTTTTGCACTGGCTAGAAACAAAAGAATGATGTTAAACAGAACTGTGTAAAGGAGATATCTTTGACTTGTTTCTCATTTTAGGGGAAATCATTCATTTTTTCACCATTTTGAGTGACGGCATTTATTGGTGTTGTAGATTTACATTTATCATGTTTAGGAATTTCCTTTCTATTACTAGATTTCAGAGAATTTTTTCTTTTGAAATGAATGCAGGATTTTGTTGAATAATTTATTTGAAGTTTTTGAGATGAGAGGTTTTTTTGCTTAAGTTTGTTCATATGATGAAGTATACTGATTCATTTAGGAATATAAAACCATTTGCATGGTAAAATATGTTTTTACATATTGGTAGGTTTCTTCCTTTCATTCTGTGTTTCTTTCTGGTACAATTATCAGTTTGATATTGAATTTTTTGTATCAATATTCTAATTAATATTCTTACTATTTTCTGGTAGTTTAAATATGCTTTTGTTTCTTATTCTTTGGGAGAATGTTCCTTCAATGTAGCTTCCAAACATAAAATTGGGTAATTTTGTTAATCTAGCTATTTTCTTTTCAACTTCTAAGAAATCTTTCATTATTACCCTCGAGAGATCGGTATATTATCTTTTAAAGTTTTTTTCTGTTTTCTGCGTTGTCTCTACTTTCTCTGTGTTTGTATTTTACTTGTTTGGTTGATTTTCTCACAGTATTTCATAGTGGAGAGTTTCTCAAGTGTTTGAAAATTATTTTCTGCCTATTTGAATTTAATAATGAGGTAATGATAAGTTGGATGTTTTGTGTGCATTGGTGAATCTTGGACTGGTTTACTTGACCAGGAATGCAGGCATGATGCTGAGATACCAGTAAATATCTGTAACTATATATATTTCCTCCTGAGTTGTTCAATTATTTCAGGAAAAAAAATCTTCAATTTTATGGTAAAAAGTAAATTCCTGTCAACAGCAATCTTTGGGCCAAATGGTACAAGCAGGAGGACACATTAGCAAAGAGTCTCATTATTCAATATGTAAACTCATATAGTCATCCTGTTGTGACAAGTCCCCATAATTTATATTTTTCTGTGCTTTGTTTTCCCTGAACTGCAGCATCTCTCACTCAATATCTCAGAAAATAAACTTTTATACTCCTGCCAAGATTACGGAGGAATATATGCCTAGATTGATAGAATATGGGGAGAGACCACTGTGCCTAACTGATTTGTCATTCTTGAGCTTTGGAATCATTCCGTTTGCAGCCCTCACCTTTTACCTTCGGGAAATTTTATTAAAATTATTACAACTACCTTTTGTAACTAAAGCAATGATGTCGAAATTATGGATGGCAATTATGTTTTTTACTTACGTTATTCTGTGACTGATGGTAGAAGTTGTATTTGTGATTAATAGTCATCTATTGGGATTTTTTTCCTTTTCCATATAGTCATTAACTCTTTACTTCCAATGGCATTTCACAATTTTCCCTGGAGACTTCTTTGTTGCCAGTGTAGATAACATATATGTTTTCAGGTTTAGTAATCTCAGGAATTTAACCTTCATATCTATCCCTCTGAACTGATAGTTTATTTTATTTCTTGCTAGTTCCAGAGAATCGATCAAAGACAGGACAACTTTTCATTGTATAAATCCAGAGAAATGATCAAACACAGGACGTTTCATTGTATAAATCTAGTAAAATAATAAAGTCATATCAGGCTTTACATATCACAAAACATTTTAATGACATTTTCATATAATCACCATAATAAACCCTGTAATATTATAAGTAAAATTTTAGATATTTTTGTCATTTTTCTAGATGCAACATAAAGAGTCTTTAATGACCCCAAAAGCATTAAATGGCAACACTAGAATTCAGAAAGTATTTTTTATTTCATGCTGCCTTATCTACTAGAAAAACTCTAAAAGATAAGTACATATTCTTATAAGCAGTTAGGTCTAGTGGTTTATGAAAATGCCCTCCTTAGTAGAAGTATGTGCTAAAATGTGCTGTGTCTAGTATCCCACAATGGGTTGTAAGCAGGATACATATTTTATGCTGTCATCTCTAAAATAAGACTTATCTCACAATTTTTAAAACCTTTTATTTCTCTGACTGGTCTGCAAACACCAGACCTCTGAGTTTCATTTTTCTCCTTTGGAACTTATCTTAGCATGGAATGGACACTAATTCCTTTGTGACACAGGACACCTCACTAGACCCAGGAATTGTTTGAATACCTCTCCTGGCACAGGTGATCTTCTATTCCTGCATTTATAAATAATCTGTCAGATAATATTAATTCTTTCCCAGATTTATTCCAATAGGCTTTAGGTTCACATAGAGAATATCCTGGGACTGTTCACATTTAAATGGCAGAAGTGCCATCTTCATTTCAAGTAGGTGTGACATCTGCCCTCACAAATACAGCTTTCATTACTTGCAGTTATGAGTCATTTGAGAATAATTTTCTCCTCAGAAACTTGTTTTTTATAATAAAGCAATGTGTATTGACCCATATTTTACTGAAGCAAGCAATCATTTTAAAATGCACGAATCCACCTCGTGACCTGTGTAAATAGTTCACATTAACTGAGAGCCTTGAACAAATTATGTCTCTTTTCAGTCATATTTTCCATAATTAAATGGTGTCTAGTTGATAAAATTATAAAGTATAATTTAAATTTTATTTTCTGAAATCAACTTTTGAAAAATATGTGTAAAAAATTTGTAAAAGTTGAAAGTAAAAAGTCACTTAGATGTAAAATGCATTTATTGTTATACATACCTGAAAATCCAGAAATATGACTGATTCCAGACAAAGCTTGATACAGTGGCACCAATAAAGTCATTAAAACTTAACATTTTTACAGATCTCCACTATCTCTTCTGAAATGAAAGTGTGACCCTTAAGTTCAAAATGAATAAAAAGTCTCTGGTCTCTATGCTCGTGACCTAGTAAAAGTTTACTTTCATCTCCTGAGATGTGACCGAGTTACATGCTCTAGTGACAAATCCTTGAATTTATCCTTACCACCAGTAGCTTAAGCCATCCCTAAAGTCAAATCCTACTTACTTGAAGAGCACTTTCAAACTGCGAATTGTATCTTATTAGTCAGTTGTAGAATCAATATGTACATTTCTAATTTTCAAAAGAATATACTAGAATAGAATTTAAAAATCACAGTACATCACACTTGATAGCAGTAGCTATTTTATAACGCACTGTTGTAATGTATGTGTATGTGAATGTATATATGTAAATGTCAAGAAAGTTTGAAAGTATGCCTGAGTAAAAGAAAGATCAGTGTGCTTTGCAATAGCCCAAACAACCACATATCCACTATATATTTCTTTATCACCACCTGTTCTAAAATCTTCACTAAAGGAAATGAAGTGACAGTTTGACAAATATTCACTCTTTTAAATTAAGAATTTTACCATTATTTTAAAACAAATTACTCTGAAAGAAATTCAACACTTTCCTCTGTGTTAAATAAGATGCTATGTATAATACATCTAGCATACTATTTGGGTAAGCAATAAACCTAAAGAACGAGGCAGAAACACCGGAATCCTCAAGGGCATGGCAGTTCTTAGGACAAGACAAAAATCTAATTATCTGCCTTGGGCTAGAGCCAGCCTGACAGAAAGAACATCTGTGTAATGAACTAAGTGCATGATTTATCTCAGAACTTCAGGCATTGCTCAACCTAAATGCAGAGGTTTAAAGGGGCTACCTATATGGATTGGGCATCTAGGAGCAGGAATTAAGGGACGTTGTTATATCACATAAATCAATAGAACATGCAGATCTTGACTTGTATTTCAATTTGTGAGAGAAGTGGAGTCTTGTGTTTTAAAAATGCCTGTAAGGTTTAATAAAATATGTATTTTTTCTGTTTTGAATTCCACTCAGTTACAATATGATCTAAAATTTATTCACCAAGAAACTTAACCAAGCAGAGTAGAACATTCCCATAAAAACATCAACTGAGCCCCAGAGCATTTGTGTGTTTATCACATGTGTGTAATACAGTTCACATTGATTCAGAGCTTGTCATCACATATGTTTAATAAAACAAGAAAAATTATAAAATTCAAAAATAATGTGGGTAAATAACACTTCCAAGGAAGCAATTCTGGTGCACTTGGGATGCCAAGAGACATAGAAACTTGCCATATTTATTGCCATGGGTTGGTTGAAATCATAAGGACTATTTCCAGGTTTAACATTCTCTTATAAAACATTCTATTATAAGCAGTTGTTTTAAAAATGTATTTTTTAATATCAAAAGGTTATGAAAATATAAACACCAAGAAAATCAAATATTAATATAGAGAAAAGGGGTGACTTAGGGTGGGAGTACTTTACATGCATTTTAGAGTAAAGGCTTATTTTGAATTTAGTCTTGGAGAATGAGATTTGTGTGTGAGGATATAATATCTTATTATTTCTAACTGGATGTGAAGAAAATGTAAAAATTGTTCTATTCAGATTATATTGGTCCAAAACTGTGTAGTCCCTTGAACATAGCCAACTACTATTTTCATGCCATGTTGGACAGGGGAAGAGAAGAAAGACTCAGTGGATAGTCAAGAGAACTCAGATTAAGGTGTTCATTTTACTGTGTATTCTTCTTATGATAATTATTTGGTACATGTGGAAATGTAGTATCAATGAATACTCCATTGAGTTAACTGGCATGCTTAGAAATGCTAACAAGAGGGTTATGAAGAAAAAGATGACTTTAAGGAGGTCAGAATACAAGCAATGTTTTAGAGTTAAGTTGGAGGTTATGACCAATGACATGGGTATAAATAAAATTGTATATCATTTATTACTTTTATAACTGTAAACTATCAGAAATCAAATTCTGGAATTCTGTTATTTAAAATAGACATTTGATAAGTAAACTAAGCAGCACATAACAACCTCCGTGTAAATAACTGTCCTCAAATGTCAATGCCATTTAGGATATAGAAAGGTGGATAAGTTTTCACTCCTCTGTGATTTCTGCTTTTAAGACAATAATTTACTTTAATGCTGGCAGAATGCTTCATACTCAAATGATTATTTTGTCCTTATGAGAAAGTTTAGCAGATTCCATTTAAGAGAACATTAGAATTTTCAGATTCCAGAATTATGACAATATTCAGAGACTAAAATAGTCTCTAACTTCTGTAGCTTCAAATGTCCTGAAATATTAATAGACATTTTTATTATGTCCATGAAACAATTAAAATTGATTGCTTTGAAAAATTGGGCCTAATAAATGATTTTTTTTTAAATGCGTGTGTGTGTGTGTGTGTGTGTGTGTAAGAGAGAAAAAGAGGTTGTGCTAGAGAATGATCCATGAGTCCTCTGTGCTTTTTCCAGTTCCATGACTTACCACCTGCAGTCTAAGACTCCTTGTTTTATTTTATAGGAATTATGTATTTTCTAAAATAAAAGGATTAGAACTAGAGCCGGAATTCACAAACTAGCTGACAGCAAATATGATCTGTGGATAACTTTTGCTCGACTTACAGGGTTATTTGTTTTACACAAATTTGAAATGTTTAAAAAAAATCAGGAGACTTCACATAACAGGGTCGATATCTTGCCTTTTGAACATGTTGACTCTGCTTTTGCACAGCAGTCAGCAAGAGTAGAGTCACTGCTCCTCTCTTTGGTCTTCTGATGTTGGGTGACACATTGTAAATGGAACCTAAAGAGATGTATCTATCCGTTTTACTGCCCTGGCTTATGTAAACATTTGCATATACCATCCCTTGACCAAGGTGATACTAAATCCCCTAAATTTTCTAAGCATTCTGACTGTATACTGTAAAAAGAATGGAACATGTTTAAATATCCAAGTTTATATATGTGTTGATTTATATGATTCTACTAATCATATTATTCGTTTCATTGTATATATTTTCTTTTTATTGTTATACTTTAAGTTTTAGGGTACATGTGCGCAATGCGCAGGTTAGTTACATATGTATACATGTGCCAAGCTGGTGCGCTTATTCAAGAATATAGCTTTCCTCTGCTTAACACTCTAGGTGTAAGCTACCTGTGTGATTATGTATTGTGTTTCTATTGTAAAAAGATAACTCATTTGAAAACGTGAGTGTATATGTACATAGATATATAATCAATAGAAATGTTTTATCAGATAGCTAAATGAAATGACCAACATATGCCTTTACAGTAAATTTATATCACAAAAATAATCCAATGATTAAGCTGCTATATAAACAGTAGATGTTTATTACTATTTTCTGTAATAGTAATATAAAATGAACAAGATACAAAAGAGTAAAATGAGGAAAAAATATTTTAATGAAGTATTTAAATAAGCTATTAAATAAAATATGATCTTACTAGTTACTAAAATCCAATGTACATATAAAAACATTTAGATATTTTAAAACCTTGTAATTTTTAAAATTTGACACCATTTTTTAACTCTTATGTGTTTGTGTGTGTGTGTTTCTAGGACATGTACATTCACATTAGGACTCATACATGTTTGAAATTATAATTTATATAAAATTTTTTTCACTTTTTGCCATTTAACATTACATATAAATGCACTTAAACAGCATAAAACATCCATCAAATAACTGTTCTTAAAGCTACCTAATTATTCTCATGAGAATTATGTAAACTTTACTCCATTTTTTATTATAATTATTATTGCATTAGACTTCTTTATACTTACAGCTTTTATTTTTAAATTTCTTCTTTTGAAATACTTCCACAGGTATTCCCAAGAGTGAAATTAGTGAGTCAAAGGGCATAAGCTTTGCTGTAGTTTATGATATACATTGCCATGCGGCTTTCCAGAAAGAACATGCTAATTAACACTGCTACAATTTAATGTACCAATATTGTTAGAACCCTACCTGCATTTGCATATTGTAAGTTTAAATTTCAAGCTAATTTGAAAACAAATAAAATTATGTAATAATTGTTTAAATATGCATTTATCTTAATATAGTAATGCTCCACATTTTAACACAGACTTCTTGTATTTAAAAAAAAGTAGGATGATAAATTCTACATTCCTAGATACAAAGTATATGTGAGAAATCCTGTAAACAAGTCATATATATACAGCAATGTTGAAGGAAGAGAGTGGGTGACATAAAACTTAATTCAGATTATCCTAACATAAAATTGCTATTAACATAATTATTTCTCATAAAATCATCCACCCACAAAGAATTGCTTTCCTAAGTATTTTTCTTATAATAAACTCTAATATTCTGAGATCTCTAACAATCAAATAACTCTTTGCTGCACAGCACTTTCAATTGCTTCTGAAATAACATGTTATTTTATCAACTTAAATCATAGAAAACAAGTTGCTTTTATAGTTTTGCCCATGATGCGTCAAAAATCAAACTCATTGCTTAGGTCAGTGGAAAACTAGAAATGTTAACATTGCCAACTTTACAAAAAAAAATTAAGCATTCATGTTAAGAAAGCTCTTTGAAACAAAATATTGTGTAAAATATAATCCTTGTTTACAGTGATATTGTATATATATACACACATATATATGTAAACAATTATAAATGGGTATATGTGTATGTGTATGTGTATATATACATGCACACATATATACATATATATACATGCACACATATACATATATATAATAACAATTTAGAATGGTTTATATATAATGTGCATATATATTCCAAATGGTTTATATATATATATATATATATATATATATATATATATGTATATATATGTACACACACACACACTCAAGAGCTCTCTCATGGAAATATACAAGAAGATTAATGTTGTTTTCTTGCCTGCCAGCACAACATGCATTCTGCCATTCTGCAACCTATGGATCCAGGAGGATAAGACTAATTATTAAGACTTGACTTTCAAGTCTTATTTAGTAAATATATTTTGTAGGGCTACATCTACCTTGTTTATAATGATACAGTATGTATATGTGTGTGCCTCTGTGTGTGTGTGTGTGTGTGTATATATACATATATATGTGTGTGTATATATATATACCCACATATCAACCATTCTAATCTATGCAGGCATATCTCATTTATTTTGTTTCACTTTATTGCACTTTACAAATGTTGTGTGGTTTTAACCAATTGAAGGTTTGTAGCAACCCTGTGTTGGGCAAGACTATTGGTGCCATTTTTCCAACATGTTTACTTCATGTCTCTGTGTCACATTTTAGTAATTCTTGCAATGTTGTACATTTTTAATTATAATTATATATGTTATGGTAACTGTAATCAGAAAATTTGATGTTACTATAGTAATTGTTTTGAAGCATTACAACTGTTCCCATATAAGACAGGGAAATTAGGAAATGTTGTGTGTGATCTGACTTCTCCACCGATGGGCCTCATCTCTCTCTCTCTCTTGCTGTCTCTCTCTCTCTCTCTTTCTCTTTGAGCCTCCCTATTCCCTGAGACACAACAATATTGAAATGTGCCCACTTAATAACCCTGCGATTTTTTCTAAGTGTTCAAATGAAAGAAAGAGTCATATGTCTCTCACTAAATCAAAAGCTAGACATGATTATGCTTAGTGAGGAAGGCATGTCGAAAGCTGAGGCAGATTGACAGGTAAGCATCTTGCACCAAGCAGTTCAGCCAAGTTGTGAATGTAAAACAAAAGTCCTTGAAGGAAATTAAAAGTGCTACTCTACTGAACACACAAAGGACAAAAAAGCCAATCAGCCTTACTGCTTACAGGGAGAAGTTGAGCGGTCTGGATAGAAGATCAAACTAGCCACAACATTCCCTTAAGCCAAAGCCTAATTCAGAGCAAGGCTCTAATTGTCATCAGTTCTATGAAGATTTCGGTGAAGAAGCCAAAGAAGAAAAATTTGCAACTAGCAGAATTTAGTTCATGAAGTTTAAGGGAAGAAGCCCCTCCATAACACAGGTAAAACAGCAAGGACTGATGTAGAAGCTGCAGCAAGTTACCTGGAAGAGCTAGCTAAGATAATTAATGATGGTGGCTGCAATAAACAACAGATTTCCAATGTAGGTGAAACAGTCTTTTATTGGAAGAAGATGTTATCCAAAACTCATAGCAAAAAATAAAAAGTCAATGTGTTCAAAGCTTCCAAGAACAGGCCATCTTTCTTGTTAGGAGTCAATGCTAATGCCTTTAAGTTAAAGCCAGTGCTTACTTACCATTCCAAAAATCTTAGCACCCTTAAGTGTTTGGCTAAATCTACTCTGCCTGTGCTCTGCAAATGAAACAATAAGCCTAAATGACAACACATCTGTTTTGAATGGTTTACTGAATATTTTTAAGCCCACTGTTGAGATATACTGTTTAGGAAAAAGAAGAATTCATTTCAAAATACTACTTCTCAGTATCGAAGAATCTTATCACCCAAGAGCTCTTATGGAGATATACAAGATTAGTGTTGTCTTCATGCCTGTTAATGCAACATCCATTCTGGATCCTTTGGATCAAGAAGTAAGTTTGACTTTCAAGTCTGAATATTTGGTGAATACATTTTGTAAGGCTATAACTGCCAGAGATGATGATTCCTCTGATGGACTGGGTAAAGTAAATTGAAAACCTGAAAAGGATTCACCATTCTAGATGCCATTAGCAACATTTCTGATTCATGAAAGGAAGTCAGTTTGGAGGAAGTTGATTCTAATGCTCATGGATGACTCTGAAAGGTCCAAGAGTTTAGTGGAGGAAGTCACTGTAGATGTGGTAAAAATAGCAAGAGAACTAGAATTACAAGCAAAGTCTGAAGATGTGACCTAATTGCTTCAAAGCCGCAATAAAGCTTTCATGTATGAGGATTTGCTTCTTATGGAGGAGCAAGGGAAGTTGTTTCTTAAGATGAAATCTACTCCTGTTGAAGATACCACGATCATTGTTGAAATGACAACAAAGCATTTCCATGAACGTGACTTATAAAGCATGGGCAGTGTTTGAGCCAATGGACTCCAATTTTGAAAGAAAGTTTTTATGTGTGTAAAATGTTAGCAAGCAGCATCACATACTACAGAGAAAATTTCTGTGAAAGGAAAAGTCTATTGATGCAGCTAACTTCATTTTGCATTGATGCAAAAATCCTCAACAAAATACTGGCAAACCAAATCCAGCAGCATATCAAAAAGCTAATCCACCACAATCAGGTAGGCTTTATCCCTGGGGCAAGGTTGGCTCAACATATGCAAATTAATAAATGTGATTCATCACATAAACAACTAAAAACAAAAACTACATGATTGTCTCAACAGATACAGGCTCTCCATATTGAAAATAAAGATAATATTTGACTAGCCAGATTTTGGTTTATTGAATTCCATCTTTTTCCACCTAAAATATTGGAGCTCTTATAAAAGTTAAGCTCAGTCCATTGATCTTGCAATTCTATAGTTTCTTTTATTTTTATTGAAAATCTTCACCTTTACTTTATAGAATTATGTTAAGTAGGTATATAATACTGTAAAGTAAAATCTGTGGTTACCAAATATACTGATAATTATATTGTTGCATATTTATAATGCAATTTTTAGTTTTAAGTTTATTATCAAAAGATTTTTCTTTTCATGCAAATATGACCAAAAGTGTATTTTTCTAACAATGGACTACAAACCTTTTAAGCTTGGGGGAAAAATATGACTTACAATATGGAAATATTTCTTCCTATTTGACCTTTTAGCACATTAACAGAATTGAAAGTAAACATCAAAAGGCTTAATGCAAGACACATGAAATTATGCATTTGTCAAACCACACAGAACAATACAATACAGAGTAAATGCTAAAGTTCATTATAGACTACAGTTAATAAAAACTTTTCTGTATTTGCTCATCAGTTGCAGCAAAATAAACCGTACTTACACAAGATGTTAATAATAGGGAAAACTGTGAGCCAGAAACTGAGCCAGTACAAGAGAACTTTCAGTTCTATCTACATAATTTTATGTAAACACAAAACTACTCTAAACAATAAAGTCTATTAATATTTTAACAAATATCAAGGTGCCTTTTGCTGCTAATTCAGTATTGTAGATAAAAGTGAAGAAATGTAAGGCAAGAAAAAAAAGGAGGCCTAAAAAGCTGTAAGGTTGTAAATCATAATACTTTATTGGGTGACATACTGAGGTGAGTTTGTTCATTAAACCAAAATATACAATGCATCTATGAAGCTAAATGACAAATAATTATTTTATTCATTAATGTATCACTCTATTCACCACAATTATTGCTCTTTTAATGCATTTTCTTTTCAAAAGTGCTTAATACTTAATAAAAATTTATTATAAATCAATCATATGCACAGACAAAAAGTAACACAAAATAAGAATTAGAAAATGTCAGCATTTTGCAAAAATCTTAAAAGTGTTTTCTGCTAAAACTGGAAAAATTTTAGCAGAAATTTTATCAGTAATATAACAAAAAGCCTAAAGCATGTAGCTCCTGGGCCCTGTTCCCAGTCAAATTCCACCCGAAGTTTCTTTCAGGGATTCTGAGATGATTAATCAAAATACACAGATCAGAGAGTGAATAAAAAGTAACAGTATGTTAAAACACATTTTCAGTGGATCAAGCGCTAAAAATCAATGAAGACTGACTCTGAGGAAAAAATATAGATCTTTGAATTGCACTAAAATTCTTTTTCACCTAGTAAGAAACAGAATATATTCAAGGATGCTTAAGTTACTGTATGTCTGCTTCAACTATATCATACATGTTTACGATGAAGTACCTTGGACAGTGTTATGGTAATGAAAGTAAATATTGCCGTAGGTATATAAATAAAATAAATATTCCCTTGTTAAAGATGCAGACTTCACCTGTACTAACGTACTATGGGGAACAAGTTCCAAATGGCTAGGTAAATTACAAAAAGCAAAGTTATAACAAGAAAATGCACTAAAAATTCCAATGTTAGAATATCAGTTGGCTAAGTAACATA
Source organism: Homo sapiens (assembly GCF_000001405.40). Lineage (NCBI taxonomy): Eukaryota > Metazoa > Chordata > Mammalia > Primates > Hominidae > Homo > Homo sapiens. Next base: position 116,934,206 of record NC_000004.12, on the reverse strand, counting down.
ATAAAACAAAGTTATTTCAGTCTTTTGCTAAGTTTACTCCATTAATCTTCTACTCAGAAAATGTAACAGAACTGATCAATTCACTCAGAAACATTTACGATCTCTTCATACCATACACTATCAACAGATTGTCCATTAATTGCCTCTAGTCACTAACAATCTATTTTAAACATAATTTCAATGTCTATTACTGAATCACTGAATTCTCTTTTATGTTATTCTACTGTATTTCTCTTTTTGGGTCAATATATTTCTTGAAGATGTATGTCAAAGCTACTTTGAGAAAATTTTGAAAAAAAATCTATGGTAGAAAACACATGTTGATCAGTATCGTGTGTCCAATAAAGAGGTCACATAGATAGACACCCTTAAAAAGAACAATCAGAAAAATTACCACAACTCTATTTTTTTTATCTTTCATGGGTTCTGAAAAATATGCAGCATTTTTGTCTACATACTTCCAGCGCTTATTCTGTTAAAAAATTATCCTCCCATCTGTGTATCTTTTCTTTTCTCACTGTGATAATTGAGTATTTTAAAGTATTTGTTTTATGCTCTAGTTCAGCAGTGATAATGCACACTCTCAAAAATTCTATGTATATATTCTATTCAGGTTGAAAGCATTTGTTATTTTAACTAAGCATTTTAGAAAACAATTGAGATCAGTTTTCTCTGAATTAGAAGCTATGAACTGAAGCTGGGATCTTATATAAACTGAGATTTTTGTTCCAGCTCCTACAGGTGAAAAAATGTCATAATAGTGACAATAACAATTTTGGAAAAGAAATGTTAGTTTAAAGCCAGTGCTTTTAAGAGATGGCCTCTTTACTCCCAAATGAAATTATGCTCAAAATGAGTTTGATGTTCCTTCCTACTTCTATATAAATGTCTTTTCCTGGGGGATGGGAGGCTGCGGGAGGGATAGCATTAGGAGAAATACCTAGTGTAAATGACGAGTTGATGGGTGCAGCAAACCAACATGGCACATGTATAACTATGTGACAAACCTGCACGTTGTGCACATATACCCTAGAACTTAAAGTATAATTAAAATATTTTTAAAAACTGCGAAAAAAAGTCTTTTCCTATATGTCCCTGTTTTATCATTAACTTCTTCCCTTTAATCCTACTTTTGATACAGTTTTTAAACTTATCTCACCAGTGTAAAGATTTGAATATGTGGGGCACAGTGTGTGCAGAAGGCAATCCAGCGTCCTCAGGTGTCCCAGATGTTAAACCACCTCAGATTGCCCCACAAATAATTATTGACTTTATTCTACATCCAATTTTCTTTCTCTGAATTAAAAAAAATACAGCTTTCAATTGTGTTTACTTCATGTGTGCAGAGAAATTAATCATCTTTACTGCACGTTTAAAGTACACACACATTCATTGATAATAAATAATATTAAATTTTAAACTCGAGTTAAAATTATGCTCGGAGGCATTTTGTAAGAATCTGCTCCTCTTATGGAAAGTTGTGGAGAACCTTGATCTCTAAACACAGAGGTGACGATCCATCAGCATCTCTGCTTTTAATGCGTCATGAAATAATTTTATTATTTTTTCTGCTTAAAAAAATAACATTGAGGGCTCTTCGGTCATTCTAAGTTAATGATTAGTGTTCTTTCTTGTTTCTGAAATCTTACTAAAATACAACCCATCTCTGGAATCATAATAGGATTTGATTGCAATGCTTTTATTATGATGTTGTGAGCTTTATCTCTGATTACTCTTTCTTCTAAGGATAACATAACTGTAAATGTTATATATCATATTGAAACAGCTTTACTCTACAAATTTAAAGCTAGAAAAAAAGGAAATCCCGGGATTTTAAATTCTTCCTAAATTTTAGATAAAAATAATAGTGCAACTAAATTTCCAAATTGGATTAGGGGAAAATTTCTTCAAATAAAATAGACTGTTAAAAGACATATAGTTTATTTTTTCTTCTTCTTTTTTTCTTTTGATAGAGTCTATGGTTATCTTTGCATAAAAAACTATTGTCCCTAACATTAAGATATATAAGAACCATTGGATTCAGTGGAACTGAAAAAATATTTAGGTCCTTAAAGACTTTTTCCTTGATACTTTATAATAGTGCTTCCAAACGGGGCACTTTTTCCACTCAAGAAACATTTATCAATGTCTGGAGATTTTTTGGTTGTCACAACTGGAGGATGGAATTACAGGCACATAGTTGGTAGAAGCCAGGAATGCTACCAAACATCCAACAAACCCCTTAAACTAAATAATATGACCCCAAATATCCATAATGCAAGGTTCAGAAGCTGTTTTTAAGACAAAAATTAAAGCTTAAATGGAAATAATAGAAGTTCTTAAAACTTGTCTTGGATACTTGACAAAATATAGGTCCTCGTATCACTATCGAATATTCTGAATTATAGGTTGGTTTGGAAATCCAGTATATACATTTTATGAATTCCAAATGATTTTTAACTCAGAGGCATATTTGAGGAACAGGGACTTAGAGAGGAACCCAATATCCCTTATTCTAAAAAAAAGTCTTAAGCCTTTTTCACTTCATTGTAAGATGAAATAAATATGATGATACTCTGGTATTGGTTAAATTAATTGTAAATTGATTCAGAGGAATCAGTGAGTTCTTGATTGTAGATTATTGATATCAGCTACTAGAAATATCAGCCTTTGTTTCTGAGAGTACTTGACTCCATCTTTTTCACTACCCAGCATTCATTCTGGTTATTCCTATATTATTGTGATACTGGTTTCAGAGAAAGATGGCTAAGGTCTGATCAATGAATTCTGGTCAAAGATGTAGCTGGAGACCCAAAACATGATGCTTGGTCTGGAGCAGAGAATTACAAGGAACATCTCTTGCATGACGTGTGGCAGCATTTGCTTTGCCATCATGAAAGGAGCTCGAGTAAAAGATAGAATACTGCTTCTTCCTAATTTTAAAATATGGACTTATTCTTAAAATGGCAAATTGTTGAGATGTCTTATCTCATATAGAATCTTAGAGAATAAAATGTTTCAAAATGGGTTCCAGAGTTTCTTTATTGAGATAATAAATGATTCACCAATGAAAGGGAAAAAAACATAATTGAGGCTTTTTATGTACACCAGCTTTTTATTTTACCACCTGTAAGCAAAACATCCTGTTATCTCTCCTTCAAGCAAAAATAATATATTCTAAAATTTTGTCAAATACAAATAACATATTTATTATTTATATTTGTTTCTTTTCAGAAAGAAAAAAAGTGAGAGCTTACAAAAATTTTTGTTGTGCTACTGGAAGACAGTTATCTGTTTTTAGAAATTTAAATGATCACAGAGATTTTATTATTAGAATATCTGAGATAGTTATTATAATACCGTTTCACCTCAATGAAAGTAACTTCCCAGCAGTAGAATTATCAAAAAAGGAATAAGAATTTTACATAAAAAGACTGGAGTTGAGGGTTTTCTCCACCACTGAGTTACAGATTGAACAAGTCAGTATATCTCCTAAGCCCCTAAGGGTGTCACCCATAAAAGGAGGTGTATAATAGTGCAAACAAAACTCTTAGAGGTTAATGAGATAATAGTTAAATATTTTGCAAATTAAATAATCTTGTTAATTTTTCTATTTTAGTTTTCACATTAGAAAATTTGAATTAGTTCCAAATAAAATGTATTAATGTAAAGTCAGCAAATAAAAACATTTTGCAACTATTTAATTAAGTACTGTGTATGTGCATTTTGGATCCTTGTTCCTATGGTCTTATAATATCAAATAGCAGGTATACATGATATGAAAATTTCCAAAAAGGAGCATGTCAGTTTCATTCTTTTTACTTTTTGTGAAGTACTTCTTAAAGATAAGAACTTCTGATTACATATCGATATTTTCACCTTGAATTCAAGAGTGATGTTTTATAGAAATACAAGCTCCATAAAAATGTCTTTTTTTATTTCACAATGTAGTGCTCATGTTTTCATTATTTTTTTTTTATTTCCTGAAGAAAAACGCTACAATCATATGGACAGGATTGCTTCAATTAAGAATAACGTATATTAAAGACAAAAGCAATCAGCCATACCGCTTTATTATAAATTTTTATCAGATACATTTTTAAATAATTCTGAAACAGGTTTGCATTTCTTTCTTTTATATATTCTTTTTGAGTCCTATCTCCATGGATAAAATAGAATTATAAATTTTACATTGAAAATTATGTTTTTAATCAGTGAAAAATACTGACTATAATAAGTTTTAAGCTGTTCAGTAGCCTGTGTTCACCCACTAACTGTCTAACAAAACATATAATAAATCTATACACATGCAGGCCAGTAAATAACCTATGAAGTAGAAAAGTACATTTGCTAGTTGATGTTCTCTTATTTTAGGGACATCAAAAATTTAAGGAAATAGCTGGTATGTTATGCCCTGTGAGAAGTGTAGACCACTAATTCTCAAACCTGGCTTCTCATTAAAATCATCAGGAAAGTTAAAAAAAAATGCTGATGTCTAAGTTTCATCCCAGAAATTCTAATTTAATTGGTGTGGAAAATGACCTTGGCAGCAGGCTATTTAAAATATCCCTTGGTAATTCTACTGCGTCACAACATTTGAGAACCACTGGTATAGACAGAACAGTGAGTAGAAGGAGTGGAACAGCAATCACAGAGGTCTAGTTTTATCTAGGGGGCAGTCTCTAGAGAAGCTGAGAGTTGAAAGAACTGTGAAGCAATTAGATTTCATGTGAGTTTCAATTAGATACCTATGAAAATATGATTTAGCAAATATTCAACTTTTAAAATGCTTAAGCTAAAAAAGAAATGCATTTGAGTTGCCATAATTTTTATTAGCACTTTAGAATGTTAATGAAAATCATAGCATATATTTATACAAACAAATCAAGACCAAGGATAATCTGAGATTCACGCAAAGACAAAGCATCTGAATCATTTGTGTTCTTAAATAATAAACTGCGTAAGGATGGTGTACAAGTGGCCAACAAATATATGAACATATACTCAACATCAGTCATCATCAGAAAAATGCAAATTAAAACCACAAAAATGTATCTGTTCCCATCCATTAAGATGGTAACTATCAAGAAAACAAAAACAATATAACAGGTGTTGGTGAGAATGTGGAACAATTGGAGGTCTTGTGCACTGTTGGTGTGATTGTAAAATGATGCAACTGCTATGTAAAACACAATGGAGGTTCCTCAGAAAATTTAAAATATAACTTCTACATGATTCAGCAATCCCACTACAGGGTATAGCAAAAGAATTGAAAGCAGGTTCTGAGAGAAATGTTTTCATACTTGTGTTCAAAGCAGCGCTATTCATATTACCAAGAGGTGAAAGCACCCCAAATATCCATCGGTAGATCAATGGAGAAACAAAATGTAGTGTGTATATAAATAAATATATATATGCGCATTGGAAATATATGCATATATATATTTGCAATGGAACACCATTCAGCCTTTAAAAAGAAGGAAATCTTGTTGAATACTACAACATGGTTGAATCTTTATGTGATGGTTGTTTTTAATGTGTCAACTTGAAAGGTCCATGAGTTGCCCAGATTAAACATTGTTTCTGATTGTGTCTGAGAGGGTTTTTCTAGATAAGAATAGCATTTGAATAGGTGGACTCAGTGAAGTAGATTATCCTCCTCAATGTGAATTGGGCATCTTCCAATCCATTGAGGTTCTGAATAGAATAAAAAGTAGAAAAATAAAGAAATGGCCTGTTTTCTTCCCCTGACAGTTGGACTGGGATTTACATTATTGGCTGCCTTCATTTTTGGATCTTTGACGCAGACTAAATTATACCACTGGCTTTCCTGGATCTCCAGTTTGCAGACAGCAGATTGTGGGACTTTTCAGCCTCCATAATCATGTAAGCCAATCCAATTCCTCCTAAAATCTGTGTGTGTGTGTGTGTGTGTGTGTGTGTGTGTGTGTGTGTGTATGACCAATACACATTTTATTGGTTTATACACTCTATATACACTTCATAATTGAACTTGATTGGTTCTATTTCTCTGGAGAACCCTTACTAATACATTTGAAAACATTATGCTAAGTGAAATAAGCCAATCACACACACAAAAATACTGTATGATTACACTTATATGAGGTACCTAAAGGAATAAAATTCATAGACAAAGAAAGTAGAATTGTGCTTACCAGGGGCTGGGGTGAGAGAGAAAAGAGGAGTTGATTAATGGGTCTAGAATTTCAGATTTGCAAAGTGAAAAGGATCTGGAGATCAACTTCACAGCAATGTGACTATTTCTAACTGTCCACTTAAAAATGGTGAAGATGGTAAAACTTTATGTTACATGTTGTTTTTTTTACCACAATTTAAACTGTTGAAGAACATTTTAAAAACTTTAACATGAATATCTAGAGCCTGTGGTTTACATAAACTCCACATGGTATCTAATTACATTGATGTTTGCCATGATCAAACATCAGGGCTGCTTGAACTGCAGCCCAAAGGTACTGCAGTATCTTTTCTTGCTCTAGTTCTCAAGCAGTTGGTAGTCTTTAGTGTTACCTAGTTTATACATCAAAGCAGTATTACCAAGCATGGAATATATCACTTCCAGAATCTATAAAGCGATATCACATATTACACTTCCTTATTAACATTGGGAGGTGCAACATGTAATCATACATCCTTTGGAAGGGATGTCCTAGCATGTTACAGACCACCAGACCCATCAATGTTTTTGTGATATGTATCTCTGTGGGATTTATCTATCACCTTTCGGTATCCATGTGTTTAACCAGGGCCTCCATGACACTAGTTACTTCTTGTACATTCAGATTGACCAACAAGGCCTTATTATAAGGATTATTGTGATATTCAGCTGGGTGTTAAGTGGGTTTAGATTATTTCAGAATGTATTATAACAGGCAAGGAGAGAGCTAACAGAGGCTCAATAGTTAACACAGATACAGATTGTAAATGTGCATTTTTGTTCATTTCACATGAATGGAAACTGTTTTGATAGGGATGGTTGTTTTTGTCTTTAGTGGGTTTCACCTATCTCTACTTATTATACTTATCTGTGCAACAATAGCTATCACTAGGAGGTGCAATGACTCCAATGATCACCTGTGGTCAGGGCAGGAGTCTGTATTACCTGAAGCACAGGGGCTGAAAGTAGAGGATGATTAGTTCTTCTGTGCTCTGTCTTAATAGAACCAAAATGAAAGGAAAAGGAAGACTGAACTCCCCTCCCACACTGCCAATTATATACCAGGATTGGAGAACAATACAACAAAACTATTCCTTCAATAGCTGGTCTTGTACTTGCCTTCTAGAGCCTGGGGAAATGCCCAGCTCGCCCTTTCCATCCACATTCCTCTGCTCATTCAACAGAACCATCTGGTGTGTGCCTACCATGTGCTGAGGACTTAGAAGCAACACCTCAGTCATTTTCCTTGGGGATCTCTCAGTCTGTCAGCTGTGGTGATAGGGACAGGCAACCCATAAGACAGGTGGGGAAGGGAGCACCGAAAGTCAATGAAGAGATGTGATCTGGAGTGATTTACTACCAGGCCAAGTGACAGTCACCCTATTTTGCTATTTTTTAATTACCATTTCGAATTAATAATGTGTCTCTTCCCACGCATCCCCCTCAGAGTGGGGCGTAAACACCTTTGTATGTGACTGTGCAGAGCTTTGAAGCTCCCAGAACAGCAGCCCTCCTGCCTTGCCTTCTCCCCAGGTAATGTGACCCAGGCCTGTCCTTGGCTGCAGCCACCAACCCCACCCGGAGCGGCTGTCTGAACTGCCTGGCCTGCCTGGGTCTCCACGAAGGCCAGGATCAGGCAGAAGGCGATGGAGGCACCTCCCGCCTTTGCTTCGTTAGTCCCAGGACGAGCGGGCCCGCGCGTACCCGGAGAGGGGCGGCGGCGCGGGTGGCCTGGCGGGTCCCGGGGCCTCGGTTCGCATCGGAGTCCCCTCTGTGCTCGCCCTGCAGCCGCTGCCCGAGAGGTCTGAGTCGCCACCAGCTGTGTCCGCGGGGATGTGGGGAGCGAGATGGGAGGGGTCGCCCGCTAGTCGTCCCCGCCGGACACCGGGCACCGCGTAGCCTCAGAGAGCCGCCCGGACGCGGGGCCGCCCTGGGGAGCGGGTGAGGCCGAGGACCAGGGGGAAGGAGGAGCCCGTGGACGGCTGCAGCCCCAGGTAATCTCCATGGAGGACTGGGCTGGTCTCCTCGCCCAGAAACCCGAGCCGTGAGCCTTGGAATGCGGACTCCAGGGGCGGCTCGACTAGACAAGTTTCTGGCAGCTTGAAAAGAGGGAGTCCTGAAACCGACACTCATTTTAATCAGCCTGTCTTTTCCTATTTAAAATTATTTTATTTAGGCAACGAAAAGATAGTCTCTGGGTGACTGTAGTTTTCTAAGTACAATCCTGAAAGTTTTCACTTGCTATGTTCGTTTACATTGTGCATATTTATTAAACTGTTGACTTTTGGTTAATCAGACAACAGACATTTAACCTATTCTTAACGGAACATTGAAAGTTCGCTGTTATGTTTTGGAGTGCTGCTTTTCTACTCTGTTAGCCTCTGTCTTCCCATAATAACACCAGAACCAGTCCCTAGGTAGTAGTTTTTGCATGTGACAGTTCTACTTCTGGGATCTTCACCTGGTTAACCACCTTTTGATTGCTAAGATTAATAAGGTATTAAATAACAAGAGATGCTGCTGCACTAGGGCTGGTACTGCTACCACTTGTGAAACCCTGTGCTAAGTTGATGGGAGTGGATACTGCGATCCTTGTCTGACATGTAATATTCCTTAAAACCATCTCAAGCTCTTTTGCCTTTATTCCGGGTGTGACTAATCATTTGCACTATACACTAATAATGCCTGATTTGTAAATATATGAACTTTTAAAAGACAAAACTCTGACTTTTCTTATATTTAATTATTCTAAGAAATTTAGCATTGAGATAATGTTTAATTCTATTCTAATTAGGTACAATAAAGCCTTTAGTTAAATCATGTTTTTAAAAACGCACAACTTCTTTTTACTTTCATGTATTTTTAAAACCTTTTACATCTTTTGTAACAAGATCCTTCCCTAAAATTGTCTAAGATTGCAGCCAATTTGTTATGCTAATTTTTCCTTGACTGGCTGAAAAGCATAACATAAAATGTTTTTATGTCTTCCTAATGTATAAATATAAATCAGCAGAGTGCATTGAAATGGAAACGTATTCTATTTAATGTAGGAAACCAACATAATGTTTCAGAGTGCCTCTTTCCTCCTCTACTTCTTGAATTATCCCAGTTTTTGAAGTGGGAGTTTTCTTGGTTGTACTCCCTGCAAACTCTCTTCCTACTTGCCTACTAGAGCAGAGTTAATTAGAATGTAACAAATTCACACATTTCTTCTCAGAAAAATATATACTGTGTTGGCTTCTGATACTGTTAAATTACTTTTAGCAATTTTAGGTAATGTATTTGACAAGTCCAAATCCAAATATTTTTCAATCATTATAGCTAAGTGTATGAAAGAGTGACTAAATAGTTATTAGTTATTTTAAAGAACTTAATATACTTTAGTTACAAATTAACATATTCTAGATGGCATTCTTTTTCTTCCCAATGGAATGCTAACTTCAGGATGATTTTATTTATAAAATAAATACATTTTATGTCTGGGCAATTTCTGGTATTGGAGGAACCAGATAGATAGGATACATTGATAAATGGATGCTTCCTCTTGCTGATTTTGCAGAACTGTGCATACTTTCCAAAATTTTGCGAAACTTTACAGCACGTAGTTTTTGTATAAATTTGGTTTTATTATGATATATATATATAATACGGCTAGTGATTCCAGAAAATAATTGGTGACTCTAGCTTTTGTTAAACACCTTGACAAAATATGGTGGCAATGTTTCCTTGGTCAAGTTTTGAGGAGGAATGTTTATAAATATATAGATATGAATATTAAAATACAGTTACATATAATATAATTATAAGTAATTAATGTACATATATAATTTGTATATATATTTACAAATAATAGTAACAAGATCCTACCCTAAAATTATATATATAGTGAGTATATATATACAGTGAATATATATATAAAATGAGTGTGTGTATATATATGTGTGTGTGTGTATATATGTGAGTATATATATAAATTTATTTATTTATATATACTCATATATATTTATTTATATATATGCACACATATATACTTATGTATATATACTTATGTGTATATATATAAACACACACACACACAAGTATATATAAAATATATATATATACACACACTCACTAAGTTCCAGGAAGTTCTGGAATAGGACAATTAGGTTCTTGTGTAAAATTCAGTCACAGGTACATTGTGAATATGTGAGATACATTGTTCCCGTCAAAGTGATCACTGCCATTTTGGCAGTGTTGATGTAAGTATCTTCATAGCTTAACATTGATGTGATTGATGAAGGTGTCCATTCATTGAAACTAGGTTCATATAAAGACTACCCTGGTGGTTACAACTCCTATTTTTGAACTTCAATATTCCTTTATTTATTTATTCAAGAAGTATTCACCACGCTGCTGTCATGTCAAGCTCTTTATGTCACGCCCTGTTAAACTGTCATGTCAGTCACTGTTTGAGAGAATGTAGAATTGAAAATGTGGGAAGCTTCTATAAGATCTAGAAAACAGCCTCAAACAGGCAAATCTAAGAGTTACTTGCCTTAAAGAGAAAGTAGGAAGAGAAATAGGGGTAGAATATTTACTCAAAACGATAATACACGAGCACTTCCCAAACCTAGAGAAAGGTATCAGTATCCAAGTACAAGGTTATATAATACCAAGAAGATTTAACCCAAAGAAGATTACCTCAAGGAATTTAATAATCAAACTCCCAAAGGCCAAGGATAAAGAAATGATAGTAAAAGCTACTGGAGAAAAGAAAGTAACATACAATGGAACTCCAGTACATCTAATTGCTGACTTTTCAGTGAAAACCTTATGAACCAGGAGAGAGTAGCATGACATATTTAAAGTGCTGAAAAAGGAAAAAAACAATTACACTAGAACAGAACATCCATCAAAATTATTCTTCAAGTATGAAGATGAAATAAAGACTTTTCCCAAACAAAAGTTGAGGGATTTTGTCAACTCTAGACCATTCCTACAAGAAATTCTAAAAGGAATTTTTCCAATATGAAAGAAAATGACATTTATGAACAAGAAGAAATCATCTGAAGGTACAAAATTCATTGGTAGTAGTAAGCACACAAATAAACAGAGTATTACAACATTGTCATTGTGGGGTGTAAACTACACTTAAGCAGAAAAACTAAATGCTGAAACAATAAAAAATAATAACTACAACAACTACTCAAGATTGGTACAATAAGACATAAACAGAAACAAAAAAGTTAAAAAATGATGGATTAAAGTATGGAGTTTTTATTAGTTTTCCTGTTTTTTTTTTTGTTTGTTTTATACGCAGTGTTAAAGCATTATGAGCTTAAAATAATGAATTCTAAGGCAGTATTTGCAAGACAGTATTTGGTAATCTTAAATTTAAAAAAACATTCAATAGATACACAAAATTAAAAAGAGAGAAATTAAGTTATTCTACCAGAGAATACCACCTTCGTTAAAAAGAATACAAGAAGGAAAGAAAGAAGGAAAACAAGACCATAAAACAGCCAGAACACAAATACCAAAATGGCAGGAGTAAGTTCTCACTTATAAATAATAACATTGAATATAAATGGACTAAACTCACCATTAGAAAGACACGGAGTGACTGACTGAATGAATTATTTTTAAAAAGGTGCAATGATCTGTCGCCTACAATAAATACTACATTTATAAAGATACAAATTGGCTGAAAATAAAGAGATGGAAAAAGATACCCCATGCCACTTGAAACCAAAAAAAAAAAAAAAAATACAGGTGTAGCTATACTTATCACAGGTGAAATAAATTTCAAAACAAAAACTGTAAGAAGAAACAAAGAAGGCCATTATATAAAAATAAAGGGTTCGATTCCTCAAAAGGATATGTAATTGTAAATATATATATACACATAATACTGGAGGACCTAGATATAAAGCAAATATTATTCAAGCTAATGAGAGAGAGAGATCTGAATACAATAATAGCTGAAGACTTCGACACCCAACTTTCAGCATTAGACAGATCATCCAGACAGAAAATCAACAATCAAACATCAGACTTAATCTGTATTATGGAACAAACAACCCTAAAAATATTTACAGAAAATTTCTTGCAATGTCTGCAGAATACATAATTTTCTCTTCAGCACATGGATCATTGTCAAGGATAGACTATATATGAGGTCACAAAACAAGTCTTAAAACATTCAAAAAATTGAAATGATATCAAGCATCTTCTCTGATCACAAGGAAATAAAACTAGAAATCAATAACAAGAGGAATTTTGGAAACTATTCATATGCATGCTGTATTAGTCCATTCCCACACTGCAGTAAAGACATAACTAAGCCTGGGTAATTTATAAAGAAAAGAGGTTTAATCAGCTCACGTTCTGTGGGCTGTACAGGTTTCTGCTTCTGGGGAGGCCTCAGGAAACTTACAATTATGGTGGAAGTTGAAGAAGAAACAGACATGGTCTTCACATGGTCAGAGCAGGAGGAAGAGAGAGAACGGGGAGGTGCTACACATTTTCAAACCACCAGATCTCATGAGAACTCTATCACGCGAACAGCGAGGGGGAGGTTTGCCCCCATGATTCAATCACATCCCACCGGGCCCCTCCTCAAACACTGGGAATTACAATTCAACATGAGATTTGAGTGGGGACATGGAGACAAACCATATTATTCTGCCACAGACCTTCCCAAGTCTCATGTCCCTCTCACATTTCAAAACACAATCATACCTTCCCAACAATTCTCCAGAGCGTTAATTCATTCCAGTATTAACTTGAAGTCCAAGTTCAAAGTCTCATCTGAGACAAGCAAGTTCCTTCTGCCTATGAGCCTGTAAAATAAAAAAAAAGTTAGTTACTTCTATGATACAATGAGGGTACAGGTATTGGGTAAATGTTCCCATTCAAAAATGAAGAAATTGGCCAAAACAAAGGGGCTACAGGCCCCATGCAAGTCCAGAACCCAGCAGGGCAGTTATTAAATCTTATTCCAGTATAATCTTCTTTCACTCCATGTCTTACATTCAGATCATGCTGATGCAAGAGGTAGGATCCCAAGGCCTTGGGCACCTCCACCCCTGTGGCTCTGCAGGATACAGTCCCCACAGCTTCTTTCATGGGCTGCCATTGAGTGCCTCTGGCTTTTTGAGGTACATAGTACAAGCTGTTGGTGGATCTACCATTCTGGGGTCTGGAGGATGGTGGCCCTCTTCTCACAGCTCCACTATGCAGTGCCTCAGTAGGGACTCTGTATGGAAGCTCCAACCCCACATTTTCCCTTTGCACTCCTCTAGTAGAGGTTCTCCGTGAGAGCTCTGCTCCTGCAGCAGGCTTCTGCCTGGGCATCCAAGCATTTTCATGCATTCTCTGAAATCTATGTGGAAGCTCCTCATATGGTTTGGCTCTACGTTCCCACCCAAATCTCATGTCGAATTGTGATTCCAAGTGTTGGAGGTGGGGACTGGTGGGAGGTGATTGGATCATGGGGGTGGTTTCTAATGGCTTAGCACCATCCTTCTAGTGCTACCTTGTGATATAATTCTCACAAGATCTGAGTGTTTAAAAGTCCGTGGCACTTCCCCCTTTGCTCTCTCTCTCTCTCCTGCTCAAGCCATGCAGGATGGGCTGGCTTCCACTTAATCTCCCACAATAATTGTAAGTTTCCTGAGGCCTCCCTCAGCCATGTTTCTTGTACAGCTTGCAGAACCATGAGCCAATTAAACCTCTTTTCTTTATAAGTTGCTCAGTTTCAGGCATTTATTTATAGTTACATGAGAATTTATAAGTTACCCAGTCTCAGGCATTTATTTATAGTTATGTGAGAATGGAATAATATAACTCCCAAGCCTCAACTCTTGCCCTCTGCATACCTGCAGGCTTAACACCATGTGGCAGCATTGGTGGCTTCTGGCTTGCACCATCTGTCGTAGTGGCCTGAGATGTATCTGGGGTCTTTGTATCCATGGCTGGAGCTGGAGCTGGAGCAGCTGGGACACAGGGCACCATGTTTTGAAGCTGCACAGGATATCGGGGCCCTGTGCCTGGCCCACAAAGCCAGTATTCCCTCTCAGGCTCTGAGGCCTATAATAGGAGAAGCTGCCAGGAAGATCTCTGAAATGTCTTGGAGGCACTTTTCCCATTGTCTTGGATGTTATAATTTGGCTCCTCTTTATCTATGCAAGTTTCTCCAGCTGAATTTTATTTCTCCCCAGAAAATGGGTTTTTCTTTTCTACCACATGGCTGGACTCCAAATTTTCCAAACTTTTATGTCCTGCTTCTTTTTTAAATATAAGCTGCAGTTTCAGATAATCTCTATGTGCACCCATATGAACATACACTGTTAGAAGCAGCCAGGCCACAACTTGAATCCTCTGCTGCTTAGAAGTTTCTTCTGCCAGATACCCTAAATCATCTGTCTCAAATTCAAAGTTCTACAGAGCTCTTGAGCAGGGGCACAATGCCACCAGTCTCTTTGCTAAAGCACAGCAAGAGTGATCTTTACTCCAGTTCCTAATAAGTTTCTCATATCCATATGAAACTTCCTCAGCCTGGACTTTACTGTCTATATAACTAGTAGCATTTTGGTTGCAACAATTTAACAAGTCTGTAGGAAGTTCCAAACTTTCCCTCATCTTCCTGTCTTCTTCTGAGCTCTCCATACTGTTCCAACCTCTGCCTATTACCCAGCTCCAAAATCACTTCCACATTTTTAGGCATCTTTATAGCAATGCCTCACTTCTCTGGTACCAATTTTCTGTATTAGTTCATTCTCACACTGCTATACAGACATAACTGTGACTGGGTAGTTTATGAAGAAAATAAGTTGAATTGGCTCATCATTCTTTGGGCTCTACAGGCTTCTGCTTCTGGGGAGTCCTCAGAAAACTTATAATCATAGGGTAGGGTGAAGAGGAAGCAAGCATGGTTTTCATATGGCCAGAGCAGGAGTAAGAGAGAGAAGGGCAAGGTGTTACACACTTTCAAACAACCAGATCTTGTGAGAACTCTATCACAAGGACAGAAGGGAGAAGTTTGCCCACGTGATTCAATCACCCCCCACCAGGCCCCTCCTTCAACACTGGGAATTACAATTCAACATGAGATTTGGGTGGGGACACAGAGCCAAACCATATCACATGAAAATTAAACAATATACTCCTGAATAACCAGTGAATTAATAATTAAATTAAGAAGGAAATTGAAAATTTTCTCAAAACAAATGACAATGGAAACGCAACATATTTAAATGTCTGGGATAAAGCAAAACAGTACTAAGAGGGAAGTTTATAGCTATGAGTGTCTACATCAAAAAAGAATAAAAATTCAAATAAGCAACCTAATAATGCATCTTAAGTAACAGGAAAAGCAAGAGCAAACCAAAACCAAATTTAGTAGAAAAAAAAAGAAATAATAAAGATCAGAGCAGAAACAAATGAAATTGAAATGAAGAAAACAATGCAAAATATCAATGTAACCAAAAGTTGAATTTCTGAAAAGTTAAAATGGACAAATCCAGACTAATTAACAAAAAAAGGGAGAATGTCCAATAAATAAAATTAGAGACGAAAAATAGGAGGCATTACAATTGATACAGCAGAAATTCAAATGATCACTAGTGACTTCTTATAAGAAACTATATGTCTATCAATTGAAATATCTAGAGGAAATGAGTGAATTTGTAGACACATAAAACCTACCAAAATTGAAACGGGAAGAAATACAAAATCTGAAGAAACCAATAGCAAGTAATGAGATTGAAGCTATAATAAAGTTTTCCAATAAATAAAAGCCTGGAACTTGATGGCGTCACTGCTGACTTCTACCAAATATTTAAAGAATAACTAATACCAATCCTAATCAAACGATTTTGAAAAGTAGAAGAGGAGGGAGTAATTCCAAACTCATTCTGTGAGGCCAGTATTGTCCTGATACCAAAAGCAGACAAAGACACATTAAAAAAAAAAACTACAGTCCAGTATCTCTGATGAATATGGATGCAAAAATCCTCCAGAAAATGCTAGCAGACTAAATTCAAGATCACAGTAAAAAATATTCATCCTGACTAAGTGGGATTTATCCCAGGCATGCAAGTGTGGTTCCACGTACACAAATCAATCAGTATGATACATCATGTCAACAGAATGAAGGACAAAAACTATATAATCATTTCAATTGGTGCTGGAAAAGCCTATGATAAAATTCAACATCCCTTCATGACAAAAACCCTCAAAAAACTGAGTACAGAAGGAGCATACCTTAACATAATAAAAGGCATATATGATAGAAGCGCAGCTAGTATCATACTGAATGAGGATGAACTGAAATTCTTTTCTCTAATATCTGGAAGAAGAAAACGATGCCTGCTTTCACCACTGTTATTCAACATATTGCTGTAAGTCCTAGCCACAACAATTAAAAAAGAAAGATATACAGGGCATCCAAATTATAAAGGAAGAAATAAAATTATCCTTGTTTGCAGAGGATATGGGCTTATATTTGGAAAAACCTAAAGATTCCACCAAAAAAGTATTATTACTGATAAACAAATTCAGTAAAGTTGCAGGATACAAAATCAACATATAAATAGTAGTAGCATTTCTATATGCTATCAGTGAACACCCTGAAAAAGAAATTTTAAAAGTAATCCCAGTTAAACAGCAAGAAATAAAGTTAAAAACCTACCAGTGCCACTCTCAATGTGAATAGAATAAAATAAAATGAAATGTATATGGAACCACAAAAACCCAGAATAAACAAAGCCATCATGAGCAAAAAGCAGAAAACTGGAGGAATCACATTACCTGACTTCAAATTATCCTACAGAGATATAGTAACCAATACAGCATAGTAGTGACATAAAAACAGATACGTGGAGCAATGGAACAGAATAGCAAACCCAGAAACAAATCCACACATCTATAGCAAATCAATTTTTGACAAGTTGCCAAGAATATACATTGGGGAAAAGACGGTTTCTTCAATAACTGGTCCTGGGAAAATGAGGTTCATATGCAGAATTATGTTACTAAACACTTATCTCTCACCATATACAAAAATCAAATGAAAGTGGATTTGAGACAAAGAAGGAGTTTTTGTCCGAAGGTTGGGTTTATAGTTTGATGACCTTAAAATTTAAAGCAGTGGCAAATATAAAACTCTGTGTGACTTGTAAACCTAGGCAAAAATGTATGTAGAAAATTTTGAAAACATTTTTGTCTTTATTTTATCAACAAATTTCAAACCAGCTTATTTTCAAAGATTTACTTAAATCACATAATTAAAAGGCATTTGGTTAATTACTATATAGTTTATATAACTGTTCATTTATGTAAGCCAATCTAAATATAATTTCTGTAGGGATTTCTGGCCAACTACACCAGGTTATACCACGTAAACAAAACATACATATATAAAGACCTAAACACATATACAAACACAGAAATAAACATCTTATAGCTTTCACTGCAAAATTTAAGTCGCGAGACAATAAAACAAAGTAATACAAGCTCACTGGTTTATAAAAGACAGCTGGATCCAAATTATATTTCTGACAAAATAAGACCTGTTCAGATGGCTAAATTTTATTTGCTCCTATAGGTAATCGAATGAAAGCTGCAGATCCCAATTTTTGGGTAAAGCAGTTTGGTTTTCAAAAATTTTCTTTTATCCCTTTTCTGTCCTTTTTTTCATTTTGCAATGAATTTGAGGTTAAATTTTCAAATGTTTACATTTTCGCTAGGACTGGCTGAAGTGTATAGGAAAAATATCCCCAAGTGCCTTTGAATTTTTTTAGTAACAAATCTTTCTTTTGTTTATTCATCTGCTTTGTTAGACTAGTCAATGTCAGTAGGGAAAGCATTTTAGTAGTGCTTTTATTTTTAAAAGGAAGAGTGTATCCAAAGGTTTTTATTTTTATTTTTATTTTTATTTTTGGTGTTTTCTGGACCCTGCATTGCTGGCAAAGCAATTCTTATGCCAGACAGGAATACCTTATAGTTTTTATCTCAGACCAGGAGTTTGATCTGTTTGGTCTGAAAGCCTACTTGTTTCTTTATTATTTTTTCTTTCTTTTTTTTTTAAATATCAATTCTTTAGTTAACTATTCTATCAGCCTAAGCAATTATCACTCAGACAAACCTAAATTTACTTTTCCAAAGGTGTCCAGGTTGTTGGTTGTCATGGAGTTGTTATAATTTGTAAAATCAATAATTTGAAAGCTCCTTAAGACATTTTTTCTTAATTTGTTTGAAATGCCCTAAGACTTCTAAGTGACTTTTGAAATTAGCAATAGTACATTATCTTAATAAAAGCAAAAAAAAAAAAAGCCAAAATATTTAGAGTAGGCAGGAAAAGCAATACAGAGATATACAGAGAATTTAAAAGACCCTACATGTTAACTCTATAGTTGGCTGCAGTTTCTAATTCAGATATAATAAAAACAAGCTTGGAAAGTTCTAATAATCCTCATCATGGTCACAGATTTTAAAACCTGCACAGGAAAAAAAGCTATGTACCTGACTGGGGTCCCAGAAAGCTTGGCATGCCTTAATGTTTAAGAGTCCCATTTTTTTTTCTTATTAATCTCTCAAGAGCAAAGAAAATCTTATGTTAGTAAATCCTGTCAGGGAGTTTGAAACTGGGTTTTAGTTGGAGCAATTGCCCTAGTGGCTTTTAATTTTCCATCTCACATTCATCATTTGGAATGTTTATTTTTGCTCTCAGAAGATGTTCAGAAACAAGCAAAGAAAACAAGAAGAGCTAAATTATTTACAAATGCACATAACCAAACCAAAATGAACCAAAAATCAGCGTACTCACAAATATGTTAATGCAGATATGTGGATTAAACAAAATGTTAAACCAAGCATGCAGACACAAAAGTAAATTATCCAGAAAGGTCATGCTTCAGAGACAGAATGTAAATTCTCTAAAAACCAGAGTACTCAAACTAGAAAGATGCTTGTCTTTATGCTAAGAGTTTGGTCCCCCGCAAAAACATTTATAGTTCCAGAAGAGATGCCACATCTTTCATTTTGAGTGGCCTTATAACAAAATCAGATCCCAAATAAAATCCAAAATAAATTGAGAAAACTAAGGGAGGAGATACAAGAATCTAAGGAGATTCACCAGGACAGTAAAGGTGATCCACAGTAGCAGAAGGCACAAAAACTTGGTAGGTACCACACACAATTCCAGGGGCCACCAATCCAACTGAGGTGAGCTCACTTCACTTCCATTTCTGGCAACAATGTAATAAGTAGATAGGAAGCTTTCTACAAACAATGTGAATAGGCATTGCAATTGGGACATGAGTACTATAGTAACTATGTGCATATTTAAGGAGGCAAAGGAAGACAAAGGTTTTTAAAGAAAAAATGAGGAGTATTACATAATTGTTTGAGATAATTATTTTGGCTGCAAAGATCAGTGTTGGGATGGCACCGGTCAGAGGATGGACAGGCAATTGCTGGGCAGAGTTCCTCATGGAAATGTGAGTGTGTTTAAGATTGTGATGGCCTTTGTCCAAATTTGTGGAATTTGGCACAGTCTTATGTGATAGTTCTTGCTCTCAAGCATTTGTGCATGAGAACCCTTCCTTTATGGCCTTCCCTAGCTTTATTTGTCAGGTTTTTTAACTCAAGTGACTCCATTTCTATTCTGACAATTTTCACAGCATGTATAGTGATCTCGATCCTTAGAAAAGCAGAAATCGAAATGGGATCAAATTGTTTAGGGAACTTTTTATTGGAAAGACCAGTGAGAGACAATTGAGAAAGGGGAATAAGAAAGGATGAGAGAGCCATCAAATTGTGATGCCTGTTTAACCCAGAACTGCAGTATAATCATAAGAAAAGGTCATCAAGATTTTGAGAATCCTCAATAAGACTGTTTTAGTCCATTTTCACTCTTCCATAAAGAAATATCAAAGACTGGGCAATTTATAAAGGAAAGAGGTTTAATTGACCCACAGTTCTGCCTGGCTGGTGAGGCCTCTGGAAACACAACCATGGGGAAAGGCAAAGGGGAAGCAAGGCACGTCTTGCATGGCAGCAGGAAAGAGAAGAGGGGGCAACTGTCACTCGTAAAACCATCAGATCTCATGAGAACTCACTATCATGAGAACAGCATGGGGGAAAACTCCCTCATGATCCAATCACCTTTCACCAGGCCCCTCCCATGACACCTGGGGATTACAATTCAGATTATAACTCAAAATGAGATTTGGTTGGGGACACAGCCAAACCATATGAGAGAATTTGAGTCGGACTCTTTTCAGAAATCTGAATCTCTCAGAAACACCAAGCATTACTTTCCCTGCCATGTTTAGTCATTAGCTGGCAGCAGCCTGTGACTGCTACAAATACAATGATGCATTTCAGAGCTCAGCAGCTGGGACTGTCAGTCAATGATATTCCCTACAATTATTTGAGAGATATATTCTCATGGCCATCAAAGAAGATGATTAAGAAATATGTGATAATATAGGGATTTGTTAATATGAAAAATGCAAGATTCTAATATAGTTCACCTTAAGAAGCTCCAAATTTCTTACCTGTTAGAAACTTCTGTTAATTTTCAAAAGTCATGAAACTTGAAAGAGATTCTATATTATAGCATAAAGGGATATTCCATAAAATTTTAACTGTTTCTGGTAATTTAAAAAAAAAACACATTTAAAATACTATTTTACACAATACTGTACTTTCCTTAAAAAAACCCATATCTAAAAACATATTATTTGCTCTTATTACACATCAGGTTTTATGATGGACTTCTATGAATTATTTTTTATGGAGACTTAATTTTTGGTTGGAAATAAAGCATCTTCATAGATGCTATCTTCTCCCTCTGAGGTAAGAACACAACGATGTCCACAGGTTTATTGCTGTCGACATCAGTGATTTTTGAAGGGAAGGAAAAAGCAATGATCACCAATGACAATAAGGTACTAATTTATACATTATTAAAAACAAAGCAGTATTGCAGCATGGAGCATAATTCTAAAATTCTTCTCTATGTGGAACTATAATTACAACATGAATGCTGTTTATTAAAGATCTATTTGAGGAAATTATCTTCAAAGCATATTATTTACCTAGTAAGGTTAAATATGAAATATAGGTGAATGATTTAATGACAATTGTATTTTAATTATAATAGTTATTTAACCTGTTAGATTTTTGGAAAACCAAATATGCCATTTATTTTATGTCATATTATTTTAGAACTCTAAAATGAGCTTAAATAGAGAGATATATACACACACACACACCTAAACCCCACATTTATACACATACATATGTGAAGATTGAAAATGACTTTCCAAATTAGTGAAACACTGTATGACAACACATATGAAGATCATAGTGCTGTATGTAAATTACATTGTATTTCTCATCATGTAAAATTGTTGACTGTAAAGAAAACAATTATTTGAAGATGTTTAATACTTTGAATGTATTATCTTGCAAAACAACTGGTATTCTATTATTAGTAAAATATAAATTAAATGTTACCTACAGTTATCTTAATTTTCAATTCAAATTACTGGCCAACATTTTCTTTTTAACATTCATACTGCTTACTCACAAATGAAAGCAACAATTTTTTATTCCTAATCCTTGTTCTGGACAGATTTTCAATTTGGCAGAGTATATAGGACCAAATCAGAGAGCAAAATTACATCTTGCTAATGATGCACTTTCTTTTTATTTAATTATTACATATCTTCCAAACATTTGTGATGTTAATGTTAAATAAGTTTGTTAAATAAACTAAGAATACATTCCAGGTTACCAGATTTGTGTGTAAATGATGAAAAAAGCACTCCATATACTCTCAATATTTTAGTTTCTCTCCTTTAACATAATAGAAAATAACTAATAAAGAAGTTATATTTGTTTTCTTTGAAATCCAGTATTATATATGCAGTTGAACTAAAGGTTCAAAAGCTTGAAAAATAAGAATAGATATAATTTTCTGTCCAATATTTTCATTTCAAAATTTTGTTGGCAACTTTTAAAATTTGTATACGTATGCTAGTATTTACTAGTTTTAGAGAAGATAACTTGTGCATTAGTGAGTTTTTATGCAAACTCAACTATGAGTCCAGTCTTATTCAAAGGAGACAATGCTTTTGGGGCTCTGGAAGTGAAGCAATTTCCTAAGAGTGTGTAATGTAAAAAAACTACAAAACGTATTTAGGAGGAATTTAACATGTGTAAAATACTTTAACACCTGCTCATCATTCTCTAAAAATATATTTTGTAAGTAGCATAAAGACTGAAAAATTATGTTCTGAATTGTTTGATGATTAAATCTAATTCGAAATTACACATTTGATTGTATCTCAGAAAACTAGTTCTGTGAAAAAAGGAGCTTCTGGTTGAAATTTCCATAGTCCTGAGCCCCACATATTCATGTGTTCAGCATTTGTTATAGCCATTCCATGTGCGAGGCACAGAGGCGATTAACAATTTGCAATAATTAGTAAGAGATGATTCCAATCTTAAACTGCTTATGTCTTTAAAGGGAGATATATTTACAGATGAATAGATGGGAATGGATAGATAAATAAATAAGTTGGATGCTAAATGTGTCTTTTTAGTTTTATTTAAGCACAAATGATGTCTGAAGAAGGTAGTGCTGTGTGGAGTTCTCGTTCTGTTCTGGAAACTGTGCATCAGTGATAGAATTTGAAAGCAAGAGTAGAGTTAATAGGGTGAGTGTTAAGTTTAGCCAAAAGCTGCCTCCTTAATATTTTAAGTTTAGCCTAAAAGTTTCTCCATACACAGTGAACTGTAACCTTACTGCTGGATGTGTAAACAGAATGTAACCTGCTCTTGTAACAAGCAGCCAAGTATCATCCAATCACAGAACAGGAGTTTCAGGCAATCACAGGTGACCAACTGTTCAAATCCATGTTCAAAGAGGACAAATGCTGATCTATAACCAACCCAGCTGTTTCTCTACATCACTTGTTTCCTTTTTCCTTTTTTTTTTTTTTTTTTTTAAAGAAAGGAACTTATGTTGCTCTGTCACCTATGGTGGAGTGCAGTGTTGAGATCATAGCTGATTGCAGCCTCCAGCTCTTGGGCTCAGGTGATCCTCCCATCTCAGCCTCCCAAGTAGCTGGGCTAAAGGCATGTGCCACCTCATCCAGCTAATTTTATAAAAATATATATTTTTAGAGACAGGGTTTTGATATATTATTCATGCTGGTCTTGAACTCCAGGGTTCAAGCGATCCTTTCATCTCAGCCTCCCAAACTGCTGGGATTATAGCCATGAGGCACTGCACCCAGTCATTTCGGTTTTGTTTACATCACCTTCCTTTTTCTGTCCATAAATGTTAGCTGACTGTGTGGCAGCCTCAGGGAGTTGCTCTGAACCTATTCTGATTCATGTGACTGCCTGATTCTTGAATTGTCCTTTCCTCAATTAAACACTGTTAAATTTAATTTTTCTAAAGTTTTTCTTTTAACATTAGGAACCTGTTACAGAGATTCAAACAAAGATAATAACTTTTTGAAACTAAAATAGGAATATTAAGTATGAAGGAGGGATAAAAATTAGTGGTAACATTGGAAGAACATGTTGGCAATTCTGTGTATAATATTTGCAATAAAGCGTCTAACTCTATTTTCTTTTTTTTAATTTTTTTATTTTATTATGATTATACTTTAAGTTTTAGGGTACATGTGCACAACTTGCAGGTTTGTTACATATGTATACATGTGCCATGTTGGTGTGCTGCACCCATTAACTCGTCATTTAGCATTAGGTATATCTCCTAATGCTCTCCCTCCCCCCTCCCCCCACCGCACAACAGTCCCCGGTGTGTGATGTTCCCCTTCCTGTGTCCATGTAACTCTATTTTCGATGTTTGACTGCCGACAGCTTTTAAGCTTCACCCCCATCTCTTCTCCTTGTGGCTTATATCTGGGAAAACTGATAAGGAAGCCCAAGTACTCCCCTTTCGTACCTAAACGAGATTCAAAACATGCATGCTCCTGCCTGCACAGGGAAATCCTCACCCCAGCCTACCCCTAACCACAATAAAAGCCTCACATCAGTCTGGTTTTCTTGCCCTCTTAAACTGTTTTGGAAGGTTTGGCCCAGTCTCCCCTAGACGTCTTATGAAAGTAATAAAGATTTTATAATTTCTTAGTGTATATATGTCATATTATCCATCTCTACATACAAACCATATTTTGGAGGTGGGTTCCTCCTGTCTTTCTGAACTAACCTGGCCACAGCAATGTTGAGTAAAGTAATATAATCAATAACTACTTCCAGATTTTTAGCATAAGTGGAAAGGTGTTGGCAATACCCCTGCCCCCAGAAAAAAAAAAAAAACAAAACATTTTTTCTACTTTTTACTTACAGGAAATTGTTTTGAAAGTCAGATAATTAGCCTCTCTATTCTTTCCTCTTCCTTTACATTGAACTTCTTCATCTTTATCAACCAACTGCCTTTTTTTTTTTAATCCGAAATATGTAGAATCAGCTTTTCAAAAATAAACTTGTGTATAGAAGTTACTAGTTGATTGAAACATTGAACTTTGATCTAATCAATCACAATCTTTTCTATTTCTCACCTGGAGTTGTATGATGTCTGTGACACTAGAACAATCCATATAAAAGCTATTACTTTATTATGTGAACAAAATGTGCTGGAGTTCAACTGGCAACGCAAACTACTTGTTACTCAGAGTAAATGAACAGAATGGCTTTGACAATAAGCTTTTTAAAAGTAGAATTAGTGGACTAGTTGCTGTCATAAGGAAGATGGCTCATCTGTTCTGCCTGAATTGGATTTAAAATGTCCTGGAAAAAATCTTGCAGAAATGTTGTATAATTTTTTAATCAAAATAACCTGGCAATATTTTGAAAAGAAGTCATCATAATAAACAAGTACATTGTACTGGCTTTGAGAAAATATTTTACAATATAATTAAAGAATTTTGGTCTATTTAATATTCTGCTCTGGGTACATAATAAGGATTATGTGGGAGAGGAAAACACATTTATCAGATCTGGTATATTTTTTAGTCTTTATAATTTTTTAGAGCAGTTTTAAGTTCACAGCAATATTAAGAGGAATCTACAGAGGTCGCCATATTGCTCCTGACTCCATTTGTGCCTAGACTCCTGCACTATCATTATTTCCCATCTCAGTGGTACATTTGTTACAGTTCATGAACCTACACTAAAAAATCATAATCATCCAAAGTCCAGAGTTTACATTAGAAGTCCTTCTTGTTGTACATTTTATGGGTTCAGACAAGTGTAAATAATATGTATCCACCATTACAGTATCATTCAGAGTAGTTTTACTTCCCAAAAACTCCCTGTGCTATACCTATTTATCTCTCAGTCTCTCTCAGTCTCCCCTCACCTCTGCCTCCATAGCCTGGAAATCACTGATCTTTTTTACTGTCCCCATGGTGTTTCTGTTTCCAAAATGTAATGCAGTTGGAATCGTATAGTACTTAGCTTTTTCAGACTGGTTTCTTTCACTTACTAATATGCATTTAAGGTTCTTCAATGTCTTTTCATAGCTTGGGAGTGTATTAATTTTAAATGCTGCGTAATATTCCACTGTCTGAAAGTATGACAGTTCTTTATCCACTCATCTATCACCTTGCTTCAAGGTTTTGTTAATGATGAATAAAATTGTAATAAACATCCACGTGCATGTTATTGTTTGGACATAAGTATTTAACTCCTTTGAGTTTATACTAAGGAGAATTCTGAATCTTATGGTTACAGTATGTTTAATTTTATAAGAAATTATTAATCTGTCTTCCAAAGTGGCTGTACTATTTTGCATTCCCATCAGCAATGAATGTTACTTTTCAGAATTTCCACTTAATGCTTATATTACTCATCTCTTCTTGCATGTTGTCTACATTTCTTCTAAATGGGACCAGTATCTATGGGACACCAGTGACATGAGGCCATTCACCAACCTTCAGGGTAGTTCCTGTCTTGTAGCTCCGCATCCTTGCCAACATTTGGTTATGTCACTGTACTGAAGTTGGGGTGTTCTAATAAGTGTGTAGTGTGACCTCATTGTTGTTTCAGCTTACATTGCCCTGATGATAGGCCCATTTTTTAATTGAGTTGTTTCTTTGTTTTCTTATTGTTGAGATAAGAAGCATTAATTTTATTGATTTTATTTTTCTTTTCAAAGGACCAACTTTTTGTGGTATTATTTTTCTCTATTGATTCTTTATTTTCAATTTCATTGATTTCTTCTCTAATATTAATATTTAAAGTTTTATATTTCCTTTATTTGCCTTATTTGGATTGAATTTGTCCTTCATTTTCTAGTTTCTTAAGGTAAAAACTTAGATTATTGATTTTAGATCTTTTTTCTATTCTAATTATGCATTCAATACTATAAATCTCCCTCTAAGCCCTGCATCCCACAAATATTGATAAGCTGTGTTTTCATCAGTTCAAAACTATTTTAAAATTTCTCCCGAGATGCTCTCTTTGACCTATGTGTTATGTAGAAATATGCTGTCTACTCTCCACATAGTTTGGTATTTCCTAAGTATCTTTCAGCCAATCCAAGTAATGTAGGAGCTAATCAAAAGCATTCTTTATTTCTGTTACTATCCACTTTATCTCTAGCATTACTTTTGGTTATTTTTTCAGAATTTCCCTTTATCTTCTTACATTACTCATCTGTTCTTGAATGTTGTCTTCATTTCCTCTAAGTAGGACCAGTCTGTATTGGACACCAGTGACATGAGGCCATTCACCAACCTTGAGGAGAGTTCCAGCCCTCAGCAGACACCCAGGAGACTCTGTTCTCAATACTCTGTACTAACAACTTGACACAATGCCAATACAACCTCATGATTAAGAGAAACCAGGTAGGGTTATTTAGTCCACATCAATGCTCTCAAGCCATTCACAGATACAAAATTTATTTTCAATTATGGAGTACCTCTGAAGTGTGAAAGCATTACTAACTATAAATTAACTCCTCAGATTACTCAACTGTGTTATATAAAGTGGTTCATAAATGACTATTTGATGCTGACAAGACGAAAACACTGATATTAAAAGTATCTAGTATTGGCCAACCATGATGGATCATGATTGTAATCCTAGCATTTTGGGCGGCCAAAGCAGGCAGATCACTTGAGGCCAGGAGTTTGAGATCAGTCTTGCCAACACTGTGAAATCCCATCTCTACCACAAATACAGAAAATTTTCTGGGTGTGGTGGCACACACCTGTAATCTCAGCTACTTGGGAAGCTGAGGCAGGAGAATTGCTTGAACCTGAGAGGCAGAGGTTGCAGTGAGCTGAGATCCTGCCACTGCACTCCAGCCTAGGCAACAGAGGGAGACTCTGTCTAAAAAAAGAAAAGAGTATCTAGTATGAAACAATGTGTTTTGGAGTTAAAAAAATTTACAAAATATCAGAGTGTCATTTTATTTTTTTAATTAAAGATACAATCTAACATTTTGCCAATGGTTGCTTCTGAAGAAATATACAAGGAATGTTTTGATTTATTTAATCACTTTCAACATGAGAATGTTTTTAATTTTTTTTTCAACCACAAATAAGAGAATTACCTCTTCTACTTTTTGGTAATTTAAATTTCCCAAACTCAGACTTAATGATTGGTAAATTTAGAAATGACTTGTCATGTTTAATAAGCTCATCTTTATGGCTCTGATTGTTAAGAGGTGCTGCATTAAAGGCAACATTGACTTAAATGAGACAGACTCAATATGGTTGAAAAATATAAAGATATTGGTTCTTTTATGTTTATTAGGGGAAAATATATTTAAGTTATTTTATTTTGGAAAAATGTTTTACTTATATATGCACATACATAAGTGAAGAAAATGACATTACTATGGATAGTTTTGTGGCTGGTTCTGAATGAATACAAGTGGATACCACACATGGGATGATTTTTGAATCATATATTAAGCTTCTTACAATGTGTTGGCAGTTGTCTATATACATGACACTAAAAATACTTCCTCAGTAAAGTTAAGCTATTTTAAATTATTATTATACCACAAATGGGGTAAAAGAAATGAAAAGAACATTTGAAAAGATTTAAAAGTGAGTAAAAGTGTGTGTGGTGTCTGTGTATGTATGTGTGATGTGTCTGTCTATAGGGAGAGAAAGAGAAGCAGAAGTTTATTATTTTGTGTCATTCATTTATTAAAATCTATTTGAATGTATATTGTGTACCAAGCACACTGCCAGGAGATGATTATGGGGTTATGGACAACACAGAGAAGTCCCCGTCTTTATAAACTTTATATTGTTATAGGGAAAGACAATTAATTTAAAAGAAAAAAATTAGATAATTTCAGATGGGATAGGAACACAAATATGTTAGTGAGATACAGAGGGGTACTGTGCATTGGGGGCAGGGCATGGGGGCACGCTGCTTTGAAGAAAGTACTTAAGGAAAGGCTCCTTGATGTAGAAATTGAGTTGACACTTGCAAGATGGGAAGAATTTATTATGCGAAATTCTGGGATAAGAGAGTTCTGTACAAAGGGAAACGACTTTAAGATGGAACAAGCTTGCTGTGGTCAAGAGAGAGAAGAAAGGTCAGTGTGGGTAGAGAAGAGTAAATGTGAGGAATCTTCAGGTGAGGTCAGCCCAGAAAGGTAGGTAGGAACCAGATCATCTCAGGAACATGGAGAGAAGTTTGGCTCTTACTCAAATTTCAGTTGAGGGCCATTAAGGGGTCCTTGACATGAAAGGAATAGGCCTGATTGTACTGGCTGTCATCCGGAGACTGGACTACAGGAAATAATGGAAGGAAGCTCAGTTAGGCAGCTACTGCAGTACACTAGCTATGAAATGATAATGCAGGCAAGTAAGTATAGTTAGAAGGGCGAGGTTTGAGATACATTTTGGGAATGTAGCTGAGAGGACTTGCTGAATAATTTTATGTGGGGAGATAGAAAAATATGATTTGCTCTGAGTGCAGGGTGGGTGGTAGAGTTGCTGCACTTAGGAAGATGAGACTACAGGAGGCATTGAATTGTGGGGTCATTTTTGAAGACATTGAGAATAAAAATTAAGTTATAAGCTTCCAACTAACTGAAAGGACTTCCTCTTGGCCAAGGGGACCCCAGCAAAACCTGGGAAGCTGAGTTCCTAGCCATGACAGGAGAGGAGGTGAGACAAACCTCATTATATCCCCTCCATCACTAACCACCATTAGGCTTTCTTCCTTATGAGCCAGACAGAAGCAGCCCTTCCACAGGGCTTCACACTAATAATGTCTATTACCGGCTTATATTCCCAGGTACAGAACAAAGGCATGACAAGATAAATCTTTCCCTCACAACTCTTTGAAACATCTGCTTCCTCTATTCCCTTTTTTATTCTTCCCATTTTATCTTATTTAAAATGTAGATTTACTAAGCACTAACTAAAGTCTCACAAATATGTTACCATTTCTCTTACTGCTGCCCAAATCCTACCCCGCCTGCCCCACCTTTTTTAAGAAAAATGTATAAGTACCAAAACTCCTAAGAAACTTTTGGAAAAAGAGTCATAGAGGTGAATTTTTTTTTCTTTTTTTTTCCAGGCATGACTCAATAAACTTTGATTGTTTGGGACATCTGCCTCAGTCACTCATTTTGGTTGTCAGCATGGACTCTAGATCAGACCAAGTTGACCTCCCTTCTTCACCATTAACTGCTTTGAGGTAGCTATTTAGCCTCTCTCGTCCTCAGTTCGCTTATGTGTAAATGAGAACTGTAATAGCACCCATCTCATAGTTTTGCTCTGAGACTAAAAGGAGTTAATGCAAGAAAAGTACTTATTACTAGTGTTTGGCTCATGGTAGGTATTAGTTATGATTAAGGGAGAAAAATAATTTTGGACATGTTAAGTATGATAAAAGAGAGAAGAATCAAGTTGAGCATTTTAAGTTTGTGATGCCTTTGAGACATCCTGGTAGAGATGGGAAGTCAATTGGATCTACATGTATAGAGTTGAAGGAGAAGTTAGAGACTCATTAGTGTATTAATGTTACTTAAATCCATGGAACTGGATGTGATAACCTGAGATTTACTGAAAGAGATTAAAGCTGAGAATAAAACAGAAACAAGGTCAGAATCATTTCAAGGTCATGACCTAAATGTTAGCAAATAAATCAGAAATGAACATTAGCAAATAAAACAGAAATGACAGAGACTGAATGAAGTCCTCATCTTACTATTTTTAGTGAAAGCCATGTATTCCGAACTAAGTGTTGAAACAGAGCCATCTGAAGTTCCAGATTACACATTGCGCTTAATGTAGCATTTTACATATATGCTTTTATTTGATTAAAAATATATTGCTTTTGCGGGGAGGGGAGAGAATTCATTACTGTTTCAAGCAGAGCACAATACATGTGTGAAGTCCTTAATATTAACACACTTTTCAATTAATAGTTTAGAGAAACCATAGTGAACAAAATACATTTTCCATGGTGCCAAATGAAGGCCTAATGACTGAGGAACTCAATGATTTTGCTCCGAGATAGACATCTAAATAGACAAACTGAATCACTGTACTTCCCATCCCTTCCTCCACCAGGGTGACTTTCTTTTGAAAACTGCTGAGTCAAGGTATGGGACTAAATCTTGCTTTATGCACATAGAATCCTGTCTTTTTTCTTATTGCATGCCAGGCAAATGAATGAAGAGATAATGGAACTTTGGACTTGGGCAGACCTGTGCTTATATTTTAGGTACACACTACAGTGAAACCTTTGATAGTTTCTTGAACTTTCTGAACCTTAGTCCTGTCAACAACAACAATAAAAAATAGAGACAATAATAACATACCTCATAGTATGTGGACAATCCTAAAATGCTATGCCCAAATGTTTATTTTATTATGTGTTTTACAGAATATTCTACATTTCATGCAATGTTTTTAACATTGACAAATTACCATTTTACTATGTATGCAGACTACGGAGAGTCTGTCAATTCACCATATTCTTAGATAATTCAATCTATTTTGAAAAGGGCATATGTAATTCAAGTTTATAAGGATGTCTGCATGTTATCTATAGATATAAAAAATCTGAATTAGAGAAATATTCTATTTATTTTCTTTATTCTCTCTACATGAAAGTGTGTGTGTGATCACCAGGTTTTTGACATAAGAAAGGAGGGATTGGTTGCAGCTGTAGTAATTTGTTACTTACATTGGCATTCAGAGGCAAAGGCTGTTGTGGTCTCATGGTTTTCTGCCCTCAGAGGATGGACTGTGATAATTAAGTACATTTAAAATAGAAAAACATGAAGCCACTTTGCCTCTGTCCTTGTTGAACCTGTTTCTTTATTCACCAATGCTTGTTACAATTTATTAACCATGAATTATACCTCTGAGTAAATTAAACTTTCTTCCTCCCTGCCATTCTGCACTCACCCGACTTACCAGGTATAAAAGTTGCATAAATTTACAAACAAGTCAATTGGCTTTCTGAGCATGCAATTAAGTTATGGAGCAATTTTCTGCAAAACTGAACCCCAGAAGAATACAACAGCTTCTTTGAATCTAGTGCTGAGGTTCATTTTTCAAACCAGTAACACAATATCTAAATCATGTTCAGCACGATGTACCTGTCTTCAAATGCTGTTTAGAGTTATGTACGTGTATTAGTTTTTGGTTTTAGAGCAATATGGTTTTTTTTCTCTCTTCCTATTTGAAATTCTTTTCTTCCCTCTCTCCTTCTCTCTTATCTCTTTCTCTCCGTCTCCTTTTACACACACACACACACACACGCACACACACTTCATTATCACAAAGTAAGTGTACATCAAAAAGTGCCAGTTGCGAGAATGATTACTTAATTGTCCAATCTACATCCTCACACTGTGTTTTAGATGGAACACTAAACACTGCATTTCTTTTTTTTTTTTTTTTTTTTTTCACTGTCTGTGGCTGATTTTACATTTTCTTTCTGGCACTGAAGTTTGTTTTCTAAGAAATTTGTCTAACAGTTTAACATTGTTTTCCATATATATGACTGTAAAAATTGTCAGATGTATTTCTAGTTTCACACAATCCTCCAAATCCCTTCATATGGAAGACTTGGTTATTTAGAAACTGAAAAATGTATTTCCTTTTAAGTTTCTGTTTTTCTGTCTGACAAAGAGAATTTGTGAGCTGATTACCTGAGATTACATATGTGGTGTGCTTATCACACAGAGCTTGGCACATAGTGTCAGATATTACTTCATCATTACAGACTTGATGACTGGAAGGGCTAGGAGTCAAACTCAGGTCTGACTCCAGATGATGATGATGATGATGATGTTGTTGTTGATGATGATGATTAAACAACTCAATGCTCCTATTTTAGAGACAGTTCTGTATATTTAGAGACCAGCTAAGAATTTCACAAATTCATGGAACATGGCTAGCAAGCAGTTTTAGAATCTGATATTTTTTGGAAGCTTCTTTATACCAATCAAAATACATAAAGATGTTACTAATTTTGTTCCTTTTTTGTTCTAAGTTATCTACTAAATGAACATTTTTTCATATAAAAATTTTCCCAAAACCCAAAATAATCTTCGTAATTATAAATTATACTTGTTGAAATTTTGCCATGTAGAGTATTACGTAAAATGTCATTATAGTAAGAACATATGTATGAAGCAGGGATCTAACCTAGAAAAAGCAAAGTCTTAAGTTTTGAGTGAAAAAACCATGAGTTGGATAAAGTTGTTCAAAGGCTTTGCATGTATACCTCATATCTTGGCCCCCAACCAAATGCCCAGTCATGTCCAATAGCATGTGTGAAAAGTCTGCAATTTCTGTTTGACAGAAGTTTTGGAGGAGAGGTCTCTATCTGACTTTCATGGACAAAATAAGATAAGAATAAATACAACTTTCATTAGGTTTTGATAGGTGATCCAAAGCCAACTTAGTACTACCAGGATCCACTGTGATGAGGCCTTCAGAATTTATAAGCTCTCAGGCTGGAAAAGGAATAGATTAATAGGATTTATTCTCATTATCTTTCTTATGATTTTCTTATAAACTCACAGCAAACAATGATGAGGATTGGCAGCATGATAAACACATTTACTTCACTCTCATATTTGGACAGACTCTTGAGCACAAGACTAAAGCATCCCCAGAGAAATTGCCAGTTGAAACTTGGACATTGTTTCGAAGTCAAAGGTCTTGAATTAGAGTGGGGAGAATATCCTGATTGGAACTCACTGGGGTTACCCAGTTTGTGGACAGAAATCTCCACAAAATGAATACCAGAACAATGTGTTGGTAAAGCAACTCTACATTTATGAAATCTCTAGGATATCACTTTGGCAGAGCTTTCACAATGAATACATCAGAATGGGGAGGTCCCAGGATCATGTTTGTAGGTTTTTAAGATCTGGGCCCAAGTTGTCACAGGCATATGTTTTCACCTTCCTTTTGCAAATACCACATTCTATTTTTGAATGGCTAAAAAATCATTCTTTATTTTCTGATTTTTTTTCAACAAATATTTGAAGTACTTATATTTCATGTCTCAAACCTCATATAAATTAATATATATTTACATATTTATATTTTTACTTAATATAGTAATTGACCTATTTGCATGTGTGTTTTATTTGTTTTTATAACTTTAAAAATTAACATCTGCATCTAAATAAAAAAGAAAAACATAAAACCAACAAAGAAACCTGAATGGCATGAATAAATGGAGACTTTGCATTGTTTTGTAATACTGACTCTTACCACATAAGAATCAATATCATTTCCAGAAAGCAAATAATGTACATAATTAGAATAGCTATTTCAACAATTATTATCTCTTGTAACAGCTAGGGCTTTCCAGAGAAACAGAACTGATAAAATGTGTGTGTATATATACAGAGAGAGAGCAAGGAAGATATTTATTATGAGGAATTGGCTTACACAATTATGGAGCTTGGGAAGTTTCAGTACCTTTAGGTTGGGTTGGCAAGCTCAACTGCAGACCCAGGAAAGCCAAGTTACAGTTCCAGTCTGAGTCCAAAGGCCTGAGAACCAAGAGAGTCAATGTATAGTTTCAGTTTGAAGGCTGGCAGTCTTGAGATTCAAGAAGAGCTGATGCCACAGTTGGAGTTGGAAGGCAGGAAGAAGCTGATGCCCCAGCCCAAAATCTGTCAAACAGTAATAGTTCTCTCTTACTATGGAGAAGGTCTGCCTTTTTGTTCTATTCAAGCCTTCACCTAATTAGATGAGTCCTGCTTACATTAAGGAGGGCCATCTGTTTTACTCGGTCTACTGATTCAACTGTCAATCTCATCCCAAAACACAGAAACACTTAGAACAATATTTGATAAAATATCTGGGCACCCTTTGACCTACTCAAGTTGACACATAAAATTAACTGTTGCATCTTGTATACATTATGATAATTTAGTTAGAAAATGGTGATAATTTATAATTATTTAGTTGAAATTATAAAGATCAAATTAAATTTCAAAACATTAAATCCAGGAAACCTAATTTTGCTAGTGTTGATAACAAAGGGCTAGCAGATTTTATATGTATATATATATAAAATATATATATATATATATCTGTAGTCTTAATGGGGTCAACTGCTCCAAATTGAGTAGTTCTGGGCTTCATTTTATGTAATGCAGTTATTATTTGGTAGAAATATCATCCCTTTAACAATTGTATACATTCAAATATGTAGTCCAACCTCAGTAGTTATATACCATTCACCCTTGTGAAATGTTTTGAAACAAAGATTTACTCTTGATTAGTGAAGCTGTTAATTTTTTTTTACCTTCTTTAGGTTCATAATTTTAACAAGTGGTAATTTATTTCTTAAGTTCTTTTCCATTGCTCTCTTAATACATGAAAACATTTATAGCTTTGCTTCTAATTTTACTAGAAGAATGGTTCGTAACCAAAAATAATCTCATATTATATGATGCTATGTATACCTTTTCACAAATACCAAGAGCCTTTGTTTCTTTTTAATTTTCATGGTCTTAGAAGTACTGCTTTGAATATTTTAAAGGTTATAGTTGTAAGTACTGATAGTTTTGGAAAAATAACATTCACATTTATTCAGGTATTTCTTTGATTTAAATTTGGTGGGAAATATAAGGCATATTTCATCAAATTTATAACAACTGTATTTTAAAATGTGTTAAAATACATGTTAAATACATGTTAAAATAATGTGTTACTCTATTTTAAAGTAATTTGGACAATTTATTTTATTTTAAGCAATTCAATTGCACTATGCAAATGAACTCCAAATTTATGGGAGAAGATCAAGTGGATAAGTTGAGAAGGGAGCAAGCATATGCCAGATGTTTTGTTGACTAAGATGCCAAGATCTCAGCACTTGATAATGAATTTATAAGGTCACAGAAAATTGTACAGGATTAGTAAATATCAGAAAAATTAATGAAATTAAAAGACTACAAGAATAAACTTTATATCAACATTACCATTGTTTTCAAAATTGTTTTTTATAAATTATAGTGTGAAATTTGCTTCTCACATAAATTCAAATCCTTTAAGTCAAAATAAAGATATTAGACGACTGACGTTGAATTTATACAATAATAAACACAGAGTCTTACCACCTTGTTTCTGGCCTAAAAGAGCTTTTATTAATGATCATAGTATATAGGGCCCTTCTTTTTTAAATAACTTCTTCAGTAGAATGTAGCTTAATGTTTTTGGTGAAGACATCATCCCTGCCTAGACCTATTACATCAAAATCTAAATTTTCCCAACATACCTAATTGTTGTGTGCAGGTAAATTCTTAAAAGTGTTAGCCGACTGCAGATGAAGCCAACAGAGCAATGGCAGAGTAGCAGGAAATGATTTTCTTCAATTAGACATGAGCTTTGCTTCAGTTAGACATGAGCTTTGCTGCCATTGTGAAAGAGCAGTAGAAAGAGAGGCCCACAAAGTGGCAGCAGGAGAGAGACCTGTGTAATCTCATCAAGCGCACCACATCTCACCTGTTCTGGAGAAGCATCTTGATTTTTCCACCTGGTTAGATGTGGCTATTAGCTAAATAAAACCAAAGGTCTTAACTAAAGAGAATCTCATAATTTTGGCTGAAGGGCACCGATGTTAAAAGTCAGTGTAGGCTGTATGGCCAATATCAGATATGATAATGACACTTCAGCAAATGAGTGTTGCCCAGAACCCCTCCAAGGTTAGAAACTTGATTTCCCACAATCAAATGCTGTGACACTACAACCCTCACCCCCACCCATCATCTATGGAACTAAAAGGCAACCAAAACAAACAAACAAACAAACAAAATAAAACAAAACAAAAAAAGAAAATAACCAAAGTAACAAAAATGGCAAATGTGCATGGGAAAAATATTGATTTGACTGAATGCTCACCTGAAGAAATTAAACTACATAAGTAGAGTTATGTTTCATGCAAACCTAATGTTTATCCACTGGGAAGTTTTGTACACAATACACAGCAAACACAGGACTGGAGAATAGTTACCTAATTGTAATTATTTGCCAAAGTTTCATTTCATACATACAATGGAATACTATTCAGTCTAAAAAAGAATGAATTTCTATCATTTTTTACAACTTAGGTCATGAACTTAGGGGACATTATGCTGAGTGAAATAAGCTAGACACAAAAAACATGCATGATTTTATTATATGTGAAATCTAATGTTGAACTCACCGAATTAGCCAGTAGAATATTGGCTACCATAAGCTTGGGGGTGGAGGGAGATGGGGAGATGTTGGTCAAAGGGTACAAGATTTCAGTTAGAAAGGAAGAATATGTTTTTGAGATCTATTACACAGTATACTGACTACAGTTAATTATAATGTAATATATATTTCAAACTTGCTAAGGCAGTAGTTTCAAATGTTCATACCATTAAAATATGATAACTATGTGAGGTGGTGGGCATGTTAATTAGCTTGATTTAATCATTCTGTAAGGTATTACATATTAAAAATAAACAGTGTACCCCACAAGAGTATATGATTATTTTTTATCAATTAAAAATAAAAAATACATTAAAAAGTTTCATTTTATGCTAATGGGATGCACACTGTTTTTAGTGTCTCCAAACTTCCCTTGAATTCAACAACTTGGAAAACACATTCTAGTAGTTTGGTCTGCTGCCATAACAAAATCCAACAGACTAGATTGCTTATACAACAGAAATTAATTTTCTCACAGCTCTGGAGGTTAGAAGTCCAAGATCAAAGTGCTGTCAGTGTTGGTATCTGGTGAGGCCTCTCTTGCTAGTTTGACCATTTTCTTGCTGTGTTCTTACATGGCCTTTCCTCTCTTAGCCTGCAGAGAATAGGGAGAAAGAGACAGAGAGAGAGAGAGGGAGAGAGATACCTTTTGTGTAACTTTCTCTTTTTATAAGGACATCAGCCCTGTGGCATTAAGGTCCCACTCTAATGACCCCATTTAACTCTAATTACCACGCTAAAGGCTCTATTTCAAAATAGGGCCTTTAACTCTATTTAGTGCTGGGATTATAGGCATATTTCTATTCCACATATGAATTTGAGTGAGGGGGAGACAATTCAGTCGACAACACACAATTTATAGCAGACTGGTATATGCTCAGTTGCAAGCATCTTAGCCAAAATATAGCATATGGTATATTTATTCTTTATACACAGACAAAGATGCCCAATGCTAGAGAATTAGATTGCTTTACATTGTCTTTTTTTGGCATATATTTAAGGAGTGCAAATACAGTTTTGTTGCATGGATAGATTATGTAGCGGTGAAGTCTGGGCTTTTAGTGTAACCATCATTCAGACAATGTACATTATATCCATTATTGATGTCATGAGAGGAGCTTATAATTCCAAGTTCAGATCACCTGCAACCATGCTGCTTTTCAAAGGGTAGGGAAGGCCTGCTGCCATCCTTGCTGAAATGACTGGTATCAGGGATACATTTGAGATTAAAGTAAAAAAAAAAGAAAAGAAATCATGTTTTCATTTGTTTCTGGCCTTTTGTGAGTTAGACAGGTTGTTCCTGTTAAGCAGATGTGAACTCTTACTAGAGAGTCAGCCAGATCCTCTTCTATATGAATGGGAAGTATTCATTGTGACTCTGTGCCTTCTCCGTGTTAGAGATTCCTTACTTTTATTTATGTTTAATAAATGAGGATTGAATGAAATTGATAATAAATAGTCCAAACATTTAATATATGTTTTCTACAATTTTATCATGATTTCTTATATAAAATATTGGACTGAATTGTATAAAAATAAATGTTTTTATACATTGAAACTTTACATATATATTTTCAGTTGCTTCAGAAATTCAAGGAATTTTGTCAGTTTCAACAAAGATTTACTGAATATCTATAATGTGCTAGAGCTTTCTCCTAGGTTTTTGTTGTTGTTGTTGTTGTTGTTGTTGTTTTTAGATGGAGTATTGCTCTGTTACCCATGCTGCAGTGCAGTGGTGCAATCTTGGCTCACTGCAACCTCTGCCTCCCAAGTTCAAGCAATTCTTGTGCCTCAGCCTCTCCAGCAGGTGGGATTACAGTCATGTGCTACAACGCCTGGCTAATTTTTCATATTTTTGTGGAGATAGGGTTTCACCATGTTGGCCAGACTGGTCTCGAACGCCTGGCCTCAAATGGTCCGCCCATCTCAGCCTCCCAAAGTGCTAGGATTACAAGCATGAGCCACTGTGCCCAGCCTCTCCTAGACATTTGACTTTACATTTACTTAGGATTCTTTTGTAAAGAATGGAAGAGAAAACAACCATAATTAGCTTTCAGATAAGGATACTTGAACAATAAAAGGTGGCCCAACTCCAGGAAAAAATGAAAAAAAGTCACAGAATTGTTGCCTGACTGCTCTTTTCTGCACTTTTGTTTCATGCTTCTCTCTGTAAAAAGCTTCTTCCATTTCTTTGGTCCAAGAAACAACCCACAAACAACCCAAGATTTACAAACCATAGCTTAAACATCTAGATGTATTCACTAATTCAATTTAGTCCCAGCATTTCCAGTAAATCTTGTCTTCACTGGAATCAGGGAACAACTCCTGGACCAGTTAGCTCTAACCAAGAGTGGGGTCTGCTAGAGAGGCTGTGATTGCCTCACTGGAGACAGTCACACTGAGGAGGATGATAACATTTGGCAGAGAGAGCAAAGGATTTTATAACAGGAAGGAGTGTGAAGACAGGTTTTAGAAAAGAGGAAATGAGGCTGGCCAGGCAAAACCCTTCTGCCTTAAGCTTCAACAAGCTGCTCATGTGTTTGAAGTCTTTAATAAAGCTTCTCTGCCATTGAATCTATTACTGCTTACTCAGTATTCATTTCCAGGATTCTGAGATCAAAAATAGAAGAGATGTGATATATGATTTAAAATTGTCATTATTTCCCACCCTAGGTTCTATCCTCTTCTGCCATTGACTAGGCTTTTCCATTACTGATTGTGTTAATGTTGTGAACTTTACCATTGTCTTGTAGTTTTGTTTTATGTGTGTGTTTTCTTTTAAAAAGAAACCCTTAATGAATATTCTGCCTTTGTTAGAAGTGTATAATTTTTCTAGAGAGAACAAGCCACCTAGATTGCTTCCAAGCCACAGTCTGAAAACTATACATGCGCTAAATTCCAGCAACCAACATGTGTTGAAGAAAAGAAAAAAGGCACATTAACAATTGAAAAGGTCTGGTACTCTGTCATCCTAGATTCATAGATTAAGAACCACAAGAGTCTAACCTTATAGGTAAACTCCTTGAGAGCAAAACATATTTAACATTGTATCCTCCAATCCTGGCACTGTGCCTGGCATATGTAGCATAAATACAAGTTCAATAACCCTTTGTTGAATGCATATATTATTTTTCTAATACAATTCTATCAAATTATAACTTCAAAATTAGGTTTTAGAAAAATTGTTGAAAATGATCCTAAGCCTTTGAGGAAACAGTGGTAAATTTCTCAACAGAAATATACTTAAATTCCACTGCCAATTTTCAAACTCTCTCTTGATTTGTGAATCATACAAATGAGTTACTGTAATTTATATGTTTTGAATTAAAGCATTTCTAAATTCAAAAATTTGCTTCACACATTAAAAGAGTAATTACTAAAATAATGTAAAGAAAAATATTTCTTGCTGATGAATTTTTTAGTTCAATGCTCCTCATATATTCATCTGTTCTTTCTCAAAACTATAGGTACATTTTCAAAAGTTTGTTAAAAATATTTTCATTAAATCAAAATAAAGATGGGTTTTCAACAAAGCAGACTAAATCTTTAAAAATCTAACATATATTAAGTGGTTAGGATATTGAAAGATTACACTGTATCTTTTTTCCTCCAAACTTTTAACTTCTTTCCAGCTGGAGAGTTAAACTTCTTCATTATTTATTTACTC
Organism: Homo sapiens; assembly: GCF_000001405.40. NCBI lineage: Eukaryota > Metazoa > Chordata > Mammalia > Primates > Hominidae > Homo > Homo sapiens. Next base: position 116,893,612 of record NC_000004.12, on the reverse strand, counting down.
ATTTATCAATTTCTGCTTGAAATAGTAGCCTTGAGAATTCCAGAGATTTTGTAGACATTTGTTAGCAATATTTACTATAAACTTTTTGCATCTGGACCCTCTAGTGTTAGTTACAACATGGATCATATGCTAATGGGCAGAGGATGATAAAGTCTTCAAGATTAATTGCCAAGGCAGCACCTTCCAGGATGGTGGAAAAAATGTAAATTATTCATCAACAAATGATTTAAATATTTTTTGCTGCCTATGTCTTACAAAAGGAATTCATTTTTAACATAAACAAGAAATAAAACCTTAGGAATATTGTGAAAAATACAGAAATGTCTACAAATTAATGAGCCATTTTATTTTTGAATCTGTTAAATTTTATTTTCAAAAAACAAAGAGTCATTGCCCAAGATGCAAATTTACTAATACCTATTTAAATTCAAAATATACGATCAGCCAAAAGGTCAAAAGAAATTAGCTTCCTTAGAAAGTTTATTATAATAAATCTAATTTTTAACTTTGATTTTGTTTCTTTTAATTGATGATAAGTTTAGTTAACAGACTAAAATTTTGGCCGGGCACGGTGGCTCATGCCTGTAATCTCAGCACTTTGGGTGACTGAGGCAGGTGGATCACCTGAGGGCAGGAGTTTGAGCCAGGCTGGCCAACATGTTGACACCCGTCTCTACTAAAAATACAAAAATTAGCCAGGTATGGTGGCAGGTACCTGTAATCCCATCTACTAGGGAGGCTGAAGCAGGAGAATCACTTAAACCCGGAGGTGGAGTTTGCAGTGAGTCGAGATCGCACCACTGCACTCCAGCCTGGGCAACAAAGTGAGACCCTGTCTCAAAATAAAAAAATAAAATAAGATAAAATAAAACAAAATTTTAAGAAATATTTGATTATTTAAATCTAAATTAAATTTAAACATTGCATATAAGCAAATACAGAAGCACTCAGCCTCAAACCCTGAACTCTTAGTTCCTGAATTGTAACTCTGCATTTATCTTTTTTTCTAAGCCACCTCTGCCCATTGCTACTATTGTCATGCCCAAGACTTTATCAGTAGCCATAACCACATCACCTTTACACTATTAGTTTCAATCTTAATGTTATCCTAATGTCAGTCTATTATTCTAGCCCAATTAGTCTAGACTTCTTAATCCTAAATTTATAAACCCATTCGATTTTTCAATTCAATTTTCACTCCCCTCATTATGGTTAGATTTAATCAACTGTAACCAACCTGATTACAACTTACTTGTTGCTCCCTCCACCGTGTACTTTACAGGGAAAAACAAAAAACACAAAGCCTCTAAATCCAGTCAATATCTGCTCTACATCTTCTTTTTGGATTCAGTCAAGCAATGAAGGTGGCTGGAGGAAAATATAACACCTTGCTAATTGTAGATTACTTTCCATTTAGGATGATAAATCTCAAGTGGGCCCTTATCATTACCTCATGCACTTCCCTAGTCTACTCACTTTCCTCCTGCCATAGACTATAACACAATTTCATTATTCTTCTCAAATCTACAATATCTCCAAAACCCTCTCCGCAGTACTCATTCTAAGCAGATAACTTTGCTTCTTTTTCCATGCACACACAAAAACAATCAGAAGAAAACTGTTCAATTATCTCATTACAAAAACCATGAACCTATTCACAGCTATATGTATATCCTCTGCTTCCTTTTCTGTTAACAGTTGATTACACGCCTTTGCTCTAGCAATTTGGTTTTCAACACCAAAGTCACCAATGGTCTCCATATTAAATAAACTGCTTAATCATTTTAGCAGCTTAAACTCAACAGATCACTTTTTAAAATGTTTTCTTCTCTGAGTAAAAGGCTGTCATGCTCTTGTACCTTTATTTGTGAGTTACCATTTGCTCCCTTCCTGTCACCTTTTTAAAACTCAACCATTTCTTCACACATCTAATTTTTAGACTCAGTTCTCCTTCCTCATAAGTTCTAAATTTTACACAAGTCTTGCATTGGCTTTCAACACCAGAGTATTTTCATGTCTTATAAATTTATATTTTATACCAATATGTTAGATTCATATATAATTGCCTAAATTACATTTCCACTTGGATGCATAATAAAATGTTTCCTACTTGTTTAAGGAAATCACAGTTTATTCAAATTTGAAGGTAAAAAATATGAATTAATTTCAAAATTTTTGTTCATGTAAAGGAGCACCCAACATGGAAATGCAGCCTCTTGCTAAACAAAAAGCAAAGTTTACAGTACATTTTGGGAAAAAGATTGAGTTAAGTTAAATTTAAACAAGGTTGAGATTTTATTGGACTACAATCCAGGGAAGCTAAAGGCTGATTGGTAAATCTCCCAAACAGGTTTGTTAGAAAGGACTCAGATTATGCTGAGACACGGAGGCACCTGTGTGTTTATGGGCAAGACTTTACCAGAGAGAATAATTCAGCAATGAAAAGAATACATTCATAACATAAATTCACCTATGCTATTGAAGTATGAAGATATTTGGCATATCATTTTAAAACCTAAATAAAGTTTTTTTCTCCATAACATCAGCAACATGTTACAGACAAAATTGTTTCTACACTCAGGTTAACCACTGAATAATTTCCATAAGAAATATTTGTTAATGGTATATTTTTATAGTTACTGTATTCAGTTTTTTGAAGTTAGCTCTACAAGTTACCTTAAAAACCTTCCAGTCAAATATATACATGCTAAAATGTATATTATTTCATTATTCTCTCTGGTAGAATCTTGCCCATAAACACACAGGTGCCTCCATGTCTCAGCGTAATCTGAGTCCTTTCTAACAAATCTGTTTGGGAAATTTACCAATCAGCCTTTAGCTTCCCTGGATTGTAGTCCAATAAAATCTCAACCTTGTTTAAATTTAACCTATATACATACTTAAATTAAGTATACATACTTAATTTAAGTTTTATATGTTATACCTATATATTACGTATGTATACCTATATATATACATAAATTTAACCTATATACATACTTAAATATATATACATGCTAAAATAAACTACACACATACACATATACATGCAAATTACGATTTGGAGCCATAGAATGAATTTAGACTCTCCAGATACTTTTCACTAACTACTTAATTCATACTTCTAACTGGATGTCTTAAAGTTACCTCATTACTCACATTATCAAAAATGAGCTCTTCTCTACAAACATTGCCATGTCCACTGTTCATTATCACCAGTATTGAATCACCAGACATTCAGCTGTGATAAATAGGACTTAAATGGAATTGAGTAAGACAGAAATCCAGGATTTCTCCTAGATGAATAAATGAACCCGAGGTCTTTTTGTCTGGAGTTTGATAGAATATCTGCCTGTGTGTTTTCTTGTTTCATCATTTTTTTCCTATCTTTGAAGTTGGGTCACAAAAAAATTACAAGAAATAAGTGGCTTTGAAATAATTTATTCAAAGATTTTTAAAAAGTAACCTCCAAGTGTCAAATGGAGAATTAATTGAAGAAATGAATTTAAAGCATATTTATGAGAATAAGATGTAAAAGCATAATATATCCATGTTATTGTAGTCATGGCCCTTGGGACTTTATTAGACTATTTATCTTAGTTAAAATAAATTGAAAATTAGCTCTAATCCTTAAGGGATAAGATCTTAAATGTTACCACAGAAAGTTGTAATTATGCGATGTGATGGATATGTTAATTAGCTTGATTTAATCATCTCCCAATATATACATATATCCAAATATCACATCATACACTATAAATATATACAATTTTTGTTTGTGAAATATACCTTAATAAAGCTAGCAAAAATACATACATAAATAAAAGTTAGCTCTACTCTGAAGATGACAGCTCAAATCAAAAGTACTATTACCTTTTAATGTGTTACACCGTATTGCATGATTTTTTGTGAATATAATTTGACTGGGAAGTCAAGGCTTTTTATTATTTTCTTTTTGAGTATTTCTTTATAAGATTTTAAAAAGTCACATGCCTTAAGTATCTAAATTTTCAAAGTTGGAAGATTGTATTTTTTTCAGTTTATTAATTTTGTTCTATGTAGCCTTACTTAAATGGGCTGGGTGTTTGTGACCCCATAAAATTCATATCTTTAATCCCTAACTCCCAATGTAATGGCGTTTAGAGATGAGGCCCTTTGGAAGTAATTAGTGTTAGGTGAGGTCATGAGGGTCATAATGGGATTGATATCCCTATAATAAGAGACACTAGAGCTCCTGCTCTCTCTCTCTCTTCTTTCTCTCACTCTCCACATTCTGTCTGTCTCTGTTTCTCTGTCCCCGCCTCTCTGTCTGTCTCTCTCTCTCCTATCTGAGGACACAGCTAGAAGAAGCCATCTTTCTGCAAGCCAAGAAGAGAGCCTACATCAGAAATTAAGTCTGTTGGCACCTTGATCTTGGACTCAGTCTCAGCATCCAAAACTATGAACTGAGTAAATCAATTTCTGTTGCTTAAGCCACCCAAATGGATTGGATTTTGTTACCACAGCCCAGGATACCTAAGATATTTGCCTATATTATTTTTCATTCTGGAACATGAAAAAAAATGAAATATAAAATGGGAAAGAAATGTCATTTTATTTACCTTCTTAATTTTTAATAATTTTAATTCAACACATTCCACTTGAATATTAACTTTTTCCTCTTAAAAACATTCAGATCAATATCAAGGATTTATTATGTCTATAGTAATAATTTATGCAAAAAATTAACTAAAACAATAACATTATGATTGACAATATTAGATAATTTTGATAAATATATAGGAACTAAAAATTGTAGAACTTTATGATGGATTAGATGAGTCAAAGATAAATGTGATTTCCTGGCTGGTACTGTGTAAAGGCTGTTGCCACAAACAGAGATAGAGAAAAAAAAATAAAGAGAGAACGGAAAATGTAGGAAATAAAAGGAAATTTCAATGGTGACACAATCATGACTTTAATCTGTGGACTGACCCAAAGATTCAAATATAGTCAGGTTAAAAAAACAACAACAATGCTATAGCGCACTATGAGACATTTATAATGAATTGACAATAAGTAGAATTAAGAGAAACATTAAATAATACATTTTCTATTGACATAATATCAATAACCAAAACCAACACTCACATATTATTTAAAATTATGTTTATTTGGAATTCCATTTGGGATTACATTTATCATTCCAGAATTTATGTGGAGTATGTTAATTACCTTGATTTAATCATTTCACTATATATATATATCTCAAAATATCACATCATACACAATGAAGTATGTAATAGTTTGTTTGTTTGTTTGTTTTTTGTGATGGAGTCTCACTCTGTCGCCCAGGCTGGAATGCAGTGGCACAATCTTGGCTTACTGCAAGCTCCGCCTCCCAGTTTCACACCATTCTCCTGCCTCAGCCTCCCGAGTAGCTGGGACTACAGGCATCCGCCACCACACCCGGCTAATTTTTTGTATTTTTAGTAGAGACGGGGTTTCACCATGTTAGCTGGGATGGTCTCGATCTCCTGACCTCATGATTCGCCCACCTCATCTTCCCAAAGTGCTGGGATTACAAGCGTGAGCCACTGTGCCCAGCCTAAAGTATGTAATAGTTTTATGCCTTAAATAATCTTAGAAATAAACAAACTTCTATTTTCAATTGGGAAAAAAGGCAACCAGAAATGAAGCCTTCTGGAAGAAAAATGTCTGTATTAATTTTTTTGTCAAGTTTGTGAAACACACGATAAAGGAAGTTTACCATTTGTATTCCAAACAAATATCTAGTATTATCGATGTCATGGGTCTTTATTAGAAACATTTTTTTCTGTCTTGTTTTTTTATTTATCTAATTTCTATCTCATTTACATCTCATTTTCTCTATTCTTGTGACAACAAATATTCTAATTAAACAAAATATCTTTATTATCTTCAGTATTGTCCACATTATCAGCTAATTAAATAGTAATTTAAATGTTAATTATATTTTACCATAATTTTTTTTAATCTTTTTTTTTTGAGACGGAGTCTCGCTCTGTTGCCCAGGCTGGAGTGCAGTGACGTGATCTCAGCTCACTGTAACTTCTGCCTCCCAGGTTCAAGAGATTCTCCTGCCTCAGCCTCCCAAGTAGCTGGGATTACAGGCACCCACTACCACACCCAATTAATTTTGTGTTTTTAGTAGAGATGGGGTTTCACCATGTTGGCCAGGCTAGTCTCCAACTCCTGACCTTAAGTGATTCGCCCACTTTAGCCTCTCAAAGTGCTGGGATTACAGGCATGAGTCACCACGCCCTGCTTTTACCTTAATTTTTAAAGGCAAGACAGCTATCATATCAGTGATGGCTGCATGACACAACTTCTTTTTGGTTCCAAGAAGCAAGTAAAATTCCCTTGCAAAATAACAGTAACATTTATTTCAAGCATTTTTAAAATAAAATTCTATTTTAATACTTACTAAATTGTCATTGATGTCTTCTGGAAATATTATCTTATCAATTGTTCAGAATTTCACAGATGCAAACAAGATCTTAGGAGTTCTCTTGACATAACATCCTTTATCTAATAAAATCTGCATAAAGGACAAGACAGAAAAAAGTGGCTTAAAGAAAATACTTTAAGCAACATAAATCTAAGCACATTATGGATTAAATCTTATAGCTTAATTGTACTTTAACATCTCACACATTTCATTGTATTTGAAGTCTCCAATAAGTCTTAATATGTGCAGAACAGAATTTACTTCCAAAGATATTAGATTTGAACATCATAATTACGTTCTTTTGTGTGTTTGTTTGTTTTTTTGTTTTGTCAATGGCTTTTCTTCAAGCCATGGTCTTTTGCATTTCAGACCTTTAAAAGACAGACATTTGCTTGCTTTATGTAAACCAAAGCAGGCATTAACTTTTCAAACTATTTGGCATATAGCACATTTTATACGAATGAAAAAATGGCAGAGATTTTATTTAGAAAGTAAATTTAAGCATGTAATTAAGAGGAAGTTTATTTTGCAGAAGACTATAATCAGTGAGAGATTTTATTAAGTGCACTACTAGCAATTTTTTTTTTCCAAAAGCCATATGGTTACACATATGTCTTCAATAAACATCTGCTAAAAACTCAGAATTGAGTGGATCTCATTTTTTGGAGGGCATGCAAATGTGAAAATAAATCTTAAGAATATTTGCTATGTACTTGGGTTCATACAGCTGATTTTCAGATCTTGACAATCTAGTAAGGGAAAATATCCTATGGAGGGTGATGTGGTGATGGTGGATGGGGTTAGGAAAGATGTGAGGTTAAGAACCTGGGGGAATATAAGACAAAAAAGTGAGAAAAAGCATCCTAAGTAGATGTAGTTATTTTTATTTTTATTTTTGGCAAGTCACTACCTTTGCTTCAAAGGATATATCACTGCATACTCTACATATGCTTATTTTCTTAGGAATTTTCAATTGAGGAAGAATCAATATAGAAGGAAGAAGGAAAGTAAAACAAACACATGTAACATATCAATAATACTAGCCAACCTAGAGAAACACAGTATTGCATAGAAAGATTCTGAAAATATTACCCAAAGATGTATTTTTATGTATTTATGTATTTATGAAAAAAATGTTATGAAACATGATACTTACATTTCTCTTCAGTGTAATTAAGTACCACATAAGGTATCTTGTTAAAATGTTTTCAGTAGAGTTATTCTTTTATGGAACTATTTTCTTGCCATAATGCATATTGCTTAGATAAACATCAAGACTAATATATCTATTCTTACCATTTGGTATTGTTTCAAAGAGTAAATGCTCCATGTTAATTGCCAAGACAGGCATATGCTAAGAAAATCTAGATAAGCAGTTAATAAGATTTTACATTGCATGCAAAATGAGGAACACATTTAGAGATGTGTATAGTCTGGATGAAATTTTTTAAATGCCATTTTACACTGATAGGTTTCCTATGTGGAAAGACATTAGTCATGTTGTTTCTTCCTATTAAATTTCTTTTGACATTGATCAACCTGGGTTAGGTAGGTGTTCTGTAGATGTAGAGAAAGATTTGGGATGTGTTCTAATCAAGTAGATCAGAAATTATTCATTCACAAATGAATAAGTACTAATACAAATATCAAAGTGACCAGCCATATTTATATTTAAGTTAAAATTTAGTAATTTACCAAGGAGAGAATCCAGCATACTATTTTACTTCTTAGTATCTAAAAAATAATATGTCAGTTTTCTTAGGATTCATTTTTTTTAGCAATGATTAAAATAAAGGAATCAATGAATACTTTGACAAAAGTCAGTCATTGAGATTATAAGCATATTGATTTACAGAGGGAAAATAAATATATGTTTTCAACTCAAATAGAAATAAGGCATATTTTGATTCAACCCTGTGGTTCTTTTCTTTGGCTTATTTTAAGTGAGTGTGACTTAACTTGTGTGTGTGAAACACACATATACATTCATTAATTCACACACTATGATTAATTCACAGTTCTCAGTGTTAGAAAGGATATATAAAAGGATCTAGTAAGTGATCCACTTAACGGATATTTTGATTTGATAAAAGAGATGATTTAACTACAACTTAGAAGGGGATATATATCCCATACATTAATCGGAAAATTTATATTTGTAGAGATGAGAGTAAAAGAATTTCAGATAATGAAGTGACTATCAGTAGAAACTGGAGAAAAAAAATTGGAACAAAATACCTGTGATTCAAAGAAAGGTGATAAATAATATTGGAAAAAGGATTAATAGGAAGTTTGAGAAAAGCCCTGAGAGCCAAGATAAGAATGAAGAAGACAAATACATTTTACCATGTATTAGATATTAACAAATTAGATATATGTATTTAATTATCTCTTACAAAAATTGCACATGAAGAAATTTGTTCAAGGTACTTAACCAAACAAGACTTCTGTGGGAGAATGTATGTGCTTGTTTTATTTTAAAATATGGTTATAAATCTGAAGCACATCTTTGTCTTTTTTTTAATCTTTGTTAGTTTAAAGTCTGTTTTATCAGCGACTAGGATTGCAACCCCTGCTTTTTTCGTTCCGTTTGCTTGGTAAACATTCCTCCATCCCTTTATTTTAAGCCAGTGTGTGTATTTACACATGAGATGGGTTTCCTAAATACAGCACACCTATGGGTCTTAACTCTTTATCCAATTGCCAGTCTGTGTCTTTTAACTGGGGCATTTGGCCCATTTACATTTAAGGTAAATATGGTTATGTGTGAATTTGATCCTGTCATCATGATGCTAGCTGGTTATTTTGCATATTAGTTGATGTGGTTTCTTCATAGAGTTGTTGGTCTTTATATTTTGGTGCCTTTTTACAGTGGCTGGTACCATTTTTTCCTTTCCATATTTAGTGCTCCTTCCTTCAGGAGCTCTTGTAAGTCAGGCCTGCTGGTGACAAAATTCCTCAGGATTTGCTTGTCTGTAAAGGATTTTATTTCTCCTTCGCTTATGAAGCTTAGTTTGGCTGGACATGAAATTCTGGGTTGAAAATTCTTTTCTTTAAGAATGTTGAATATTGGCCACCACTCTCTTCTGGCTTGTAGGATTTCTGCCGAGAGATCTGCTGTTAATCTGATGGGCTTCCTTTTGTAGGTAACCTGACCTTTCTCTCTGGCTCCCCTTAACATTTTTTCCTTTGTTTCAACCTTGGAGAATCTGACAATTAGGTGTCATGGGGTTGCTCTTCTCAAGGAGTATCTTTGTGGTGTTCTCTGTATTTCCTGAATTTGAATGTTGGCTTGTCTTGCTAGGTTGGGGAAGTTTTCCTGGATAATATCCTGAAGTGTGTTTTCCAACTTGGTTCCCTTCTCCCCGTCACTTTCAGGTACACCAGTCAATCATAGGTTTGGTCTTTTCACATAGTCCTATATTTCTTGGAGACTTTGTTCATTCATTTTCATTCTTTTCTCTCTAATCTTGTCTTCATGCATTATTTCAGTAAGTTGATCTTCAATCTCTGATATCCTTTCTTCCTCTTGATAGATTCAGCTATTGATACTTGTGTATGTTTCACCAAGTTCTCGTGTTATGCTACCTGGCTGGGTTACTAAGCTTTTTCCACGGTTTTTGCAATCTATAGATTGGGAGATTCCCTTATGTGCCTACACCACCAGGGCCTTGGGTTTCAAGCATAAAACTGGGCAGATGTTTGGGCAGACATCAAGCTAGCTGCAGGAGGATTTTTTTCGTACCCCAGTGGTGCCTGGAACCCCAATGAGACAGAACCATTCACTCCCCTGGAAAGGGGGCTGAAGCCAGGGAGCCAAGTGGTCTCGCTGACTGGGTCCCACTCCCACGGAGCCCAGCAAGCTAAGAACCACTGGCTTGAAATTCTCACTGCCAGCACTGCGTCCGCCATTACTGAGGCTTGAGTAGGCAGTTTTCGCTTGACAGTCCTAAGGAGGCTTGGAGGTCTGGGCTGGGCGCAGCAAAGCCACTGTGGCCAGACTGGTTCTCTAGAGTCCTCCACACTGGGCAGGGCATTACTCCATGTGTTACATGTTTCACTCTATGTTCATTCATGAAATCATGGATGTTGTGTATCATAGCACTAATAATTATCCAAAATTCCATAGTGTTCCACATCATATATATGTATCATTGTTATTGATCCTTTCAACTGCTGGCATTGCTTTCATTTTGAGGCTTTCATGTATAATGTTCTTATAAATACTCAGGGCTTTTGGTAGACATATATACAAATTTCTATTGGTTAGATATCTATGACTGTAATGGCCGAGTCTTAGTTTGCTATATTTAGCTTTTATAGATGCTACTGGTTTTCTCATCAGGTATGCATTAGAGTCCTGTTATTCTATAATATATACATGCTAATGCTTTATATTATTTATTTTTATCATTGTATAACCATTCTGGTATGTGTGTACAAATATTTGATGATGAATTTAGTATTTTCCTGATGACTATAATGCTTTATATCTTTTTTCATTGTAACCATTCTGGTATGCGTGTACCAACATTTGATGAAGAATATAGTTATTTTCCTGATGACTAATATAAAATAATTTATTGTTTCATGGTTATTTTAATACTTTTATTTACAAAAGCTTATTCGAGACTTTGCAGCTTATTTCTTCTCTACATATTAACTTGGAATGAGGTATTTCAAAAGTCCCATTTGCAGATCTACCATAAGACTATTATATTAATTGCAGTCACTACGCTGTACAATAGATATCTTAAACTTATTCCTCCTATCTAGCTGATTTTTTAATGCCTTGATTGACATTCACACACATAATATTCACCATAAATGAATGGATGAATGAATGGATGGAGGGATAGGTGTTATGTTAAGACCTTTCCTATAACTTTGAAGAAAAGCTTGTCAGAAGGCAATCAAATAAAATGAAAAGCAGCCAAAGATGTATATACAAAGGAGAAAATACAAGGAAATTGGTGAAAGAAAAATGGTAATAATCTCTCTGACTTTATGTTACTTGATCTCTATATGCTTCCGTTAACTCCTCTGTAAAATAAGAATACCTAATTTACTGGGTTGACCTGAAGATTAAGTAAGTCAATACATGTGTGTCAGATATTGCTATTTGGCTACCATATGTTTATTTGTTCTTTTCTCTCTTTTAGAAGTTTTGCAATTTTGTTGGAAGTAGTAATGTGCCAAGCAATGTTTGTTGACTTGGTATGACATGATATGATATTGATATGATACCTGGAGGAGGGGAGACTTCCTAAGGCCATGACAGATAGTCCATGTTCAGAGAAGACAAAATGGACACCAACCCTGGAATAACTCCCTTGAAATTCTTTTTGTGTTTTATGATGTTTAAGCCATTTTAAATGTGTTTTTCCATTTTGGATAACTAAACAAATCTTTACCAAATGATGTATATGAAGCACTGGGAACAGTTACTACTTTTAGTAAGTAGTGACTGTAAGTTTTCAATACATGAATGAAGGGAAAATACAATAGTGAAATACTAATTCCAAATAGAATCCATTTTATTATTAATTGATAAAAATTTACATAATTATAACATCAAACACAAATAGTGTTAATGTCTAGAATTATAATGATCTGTTAGGCTTTTATTGATACAAAAACATGCTTTATCAAATGTTTATTGAATGCAGTATGTAATTTATAGGATTATCTATTAAATGTGTATTATTTATTTGATACACATAGCATGTGGATAATGAGATAATATTAAAGATGCTAACTCCAAGTACCTTTGATGAATTACTTGACAGGACCTCCCTGAGTAGCTTCTTACTAGCAGTACTGATCAGACCATCCAACCATATTGAATATGTTACCAATTATCACAGCTAAAGCAAGTATGTGGGGATCTGAATTAATCATTAAGATGCCAAGTTGTGCTCTGTCCATTTTCTGCATGTAATTAAAACTAGTTTTTCATTTGTTTGTTTTGCTTTCCCTTCTACCTTTCAGAAACTTGTTTCTGGCTCGTGCAATACTAGATTTACTTTTGGTAACAGAAGTTCTGGAATTATCTTCTAAAGAGATAAAAATACAATGCTGTAAACTATTCCCAGATACTGTGTTTAATGGCAGCTCTAGTAAATAACACTGTTTTAAAAGTTTACAGCCTGATAACTAATTAACTGTGTAAAAACCGCTGATAAAGCTAAACCAGAGTTATGTGCACTAATTTTTTTGGAATAGGTTTTTTTTGTGCAGGTGAAAAAAAATCCATAAAGCAATCATTTTACTTGTTGCTTCACTAAAGTTTAAAAAAGGGGAACTCTGAATCACTCAATGGCTTCAGGAAGCACAGTGCCCAGCCAGGGTTATCTGTCATTCAGGCAGTTGAGAGGGCACAGTATTGAAACAAGTACAGAGGCACACAGTTTCACCTACTTTTACCAATAATCCTTTTCCAACAATCTCCTGCATAATTCCTTTCATTTATGTTATGCAAGTATGTAGGAGTCTAATACTTCTTACCCTTAATGCTATAAACAGGTTCATATGCCTGAAACTTTGGAAAAAAATAAAACTGCAGTCTCAGATTTACTTTTATGTACCTTAAACTTCATTTGACTTACAATATTTGAACTGTGTAATAAAGGTGGCAAAATATCAAGGAGTTATCCTATATAAGAAATAGAACATTTTCAAGGATGTCAATATTATTTTAAAAATTTATAAGTGAGGATGAAAATATAAATAGATTTGTTGCTGAGGTGGAGATGACCTTGACTATAGATGTATACAGGTTAGGCCAGGGATTTAGATCAAAGAATGAATTTTTTGCAGATTAATTTATTTTTAGAAAACATTTAAAGAGAAAGACCAACTGAAATAGCAAGAATCAAATACATTGCTGCAAGATCAGAGGATTTCATTGTATACACTGCATAAAATACCTATGCAATAACTACTTTATAAAGAGATTTCAGATTTTAAATGTAGTGGCAAAACTGAATATAGACGGATGTTAAGCTGTTGATTAGACATAATAAAATAAATATGTCCAATTAATATGCAAATTGGGTAATAGAGCATTATTTTCTTTAATAATCCCATAGCTTAGTAGAGTTTAAGTTATATAGCATTACATTGTTTATTCTGAAATAAAATGTTTATATATCAAAATGAGAAAGAATATTGTTTGCTTTTCTGTTTGTTTTTTGTTCCTTAAAAAGCTTTGTTTCATATAATTATTTTTATTTCTATTTTCTCAAAGTGGGTAGGTTTAACCATTCTTGTCATTGCATGCTTACCAACTTATTTTTATTTGAAAAAAATTTAAGTGGCTAGATGACATTTCTTTGTCTTCCCTTGTCTCCATCTGTTTACACCATCACACACCAGTCAGGTGTGGTTTATCAACACATATTGACAAAGACTCTCTTCTTGACTAAACTTCAGACAGGCTTCTCTGCATTTTCTTCTCCACTAGGCCTCACCCTTTCCTCCAGTCATTACTGGGCCTGCAGTGCCTGTTTTCAGCAAGAATCTAAGTAAATCATTTTAAAGAGAATCCCACCCCTGATAATCTGATCACTCCAACTTGACTTCAGCTAGAATTCTGTTGTCAGTTTAACAAGAATCCCCCTACTTGGTGTCTACTTTCAGTTGTTTTCCCCCTACTGACCCCCATGCCCCAATCATCTCCAAGGCTATAAATCCCCACTTGTTTCATTGTACTCAAAATTGAGCCCAGTTCTATACTGAGGTTGTTTTTCCTACATTGCAATATTTCCTGAATAAAATTGGTTCTTAACACTTTAACTACTGTCAGGCTCTAGTTTTCTTTAATAGTATGCTTTAGACAATCATCTGCATAGATTTGACTGCTCCATTGACTGGTTTCCTATCTATTTGAACAGCACATTATGCTCTAGGAGGCAAATGGGTTTGCAGAATTATAGCAACACTGCAAAGATTTATCTTCTCTGGAGTAAACTTGGTTAAATGTTTGTTGTTCAATATAGCAGGCAAACACCAGTATTGTGACAGATTATCATAATTCCTTTTATTTGCTTATTTATTCACATATTTTAAAGCACCTACTATGGGGGTCACTATATAAAATATTATGGTAAATAATATAATCTAGGTACTTGCTGTCATACAATAAACTGCATCTCACATTTAGATTCCCCATCTACCCATCCACAAAAGCAGTTCATTTCATATGTGTGTATACAGACACAGACACACACACACACACACACATGCATTCACCCCTACCTCTCTGTCTTTCTATGCTGTCTCTATATATGTACATAATCCTTCATCTTTTTGAAGCCATTGTGTGATGCAATGTTATCAAAGATAACATTGTTATAAACATTATTGTAAACATCTATAATTTCTAGTTGCACAATATTTTCTTCAAATTCATTGTTTTTCTGTGGCCTTTCATATTATTTTCTAAATATATTCTTTTAAAAGACAGGACAATTACTGACATCAGGAAATTAAATCACTTATTTTAACAAAATTGTATATCATATTAGAATATTTACTGTCAGTTGTTATAATCAATAGTATGACATCTCAGCTGCTTCAAGAAATGAAAGTTTATTTTTTGCTCATATCACAATCTGATGTCTATCAGACTTCCTCTATGTGCTGATGTTGGCATCTGGGATTTTTCCAGCTATGACAGTGTCCTCTACTGGATGCTCTAAGCTCTGAGATGGCCAAACAGGCAGTCTGTGTAGGATCCTACAAGCTATTTTAAGATGTTCATAGACTTAGTCACATGACCCCAACCCAACTGCAAGAACTGAGAATTTCATGTGTGTCCAAAAATGGTGAGTTAGGCTCTGTCACATCTGAGACATTCTATGGCAAGAATTATGTGTGATCATTGTCATAAATAAATCCTGTGAAGTTAAAAAAATACTTTAGGAAATTGAAATTAAATGTATAAATATTAATTTATGTGGCAAGATTATGTTTTGAAATATTTAAAATAAAAATTATCTCATGGAATGTTTATAACAAGGAAAATAAGCATTATGGACCTCTGGAAACTCAAAAAAGTCATGTATTTAATGGTTGGTTCTGAGGGTGATTTATTAATTTAATCAGAAAAAATCTCAACTAATTCAATTATGCTTATGGGATCCCAAATTCTTAAATATTTATATTAAAAGAACTAATTTTGCTTTTTAACATATCTTAGCTGATAATGAAAACAACACTTAGTAACAATTTAATGCTTAAAATATGCAAAGGTCTAATTCAAACATTTCATTCCTTAAAAAGTAGAAGAAATTTAATCTATTCTATTCAAAAGCAAATGCAAATATTTGTTATTCTAACAGAAATAAACAAGTATAATAGATTCTATTTTTATATCTATATTTTAAAACAAAAAATTGATATTACTGTTTTGGTAATTTTAATAAAATTTAAAATATCAAAATCATTTCTGAATCAGAGAAATTTTGTAGTCAGATTGGAGATACCGTGATACAAAGAATAGGTTAATATATATTTATTGTTAATAATCTCTATTATTTTATAAATTATAGTAAAATTAATACTTTCAGTATGTCCACAGTAAAGTGACTGATGATCATATTTGTGAATTATACTATGTTTCAGAAGAACAATATTTAATTATATTTCCATTTTTGAAGAATTAGAAGGTAAATTTGATTTTAAAATGCATGTAGTTGATGGGATTTTATCATCATGTTATAAATTCTTATGCTGTCAATGGTAATGCTCTCACACAATATGGAAATATATGCTCTTGTCATAAATTCAGAAAAATATTGATTTCTCCGACATAAATAATGAAAACATTTACAATATATACACCCACAAGCAGCAGAAAATGCAAGCTAAACAATAAAAGCCTTCCTCCTGAAGATAACCTACTTCCTAAAGGTAGAGATCTGTTTGTTGAATAGCTTGTATAAATAATTATTATTTTTATGTTTTATTGGCTACAAGCTTCACTAATTGGGATGCATTATCTATGAAGTTTTTTTTTAACTTATGTAAAACTTGGAGAGAACAGAATAGTTAAACCCATACTCATTTCTTTTTCTTGCACTTCCACCCAATTCCTCTGCTCCCAGAAGTCTTAGAAATTGTATTTGCTTTCTTAGTGACAAGATGTTCCAGTTCTTTCTTGTATTTTCTTGCTCCTACCCTACATTTAATAAATTTAGAGACCACAAGCTAGTTATCAGTGATGTTCTTTGTTACTGGGTCATTGTTTCTATGTCTTTTAAGCATACAGATAGAATTTTAGAGAAAAAATAGCATGAGTAACAACTGATATTTCCAAATTAAAATTTAAAATATAGAATTTATACATATGTATTTTATTTTTAAATTTTTTCTTCTTTGTTCTAATGTTAAATTCCAATAACATTATTTTTATACTTTAATTTAGATCTAATTTTTGAATACCAATATCAATAATATGATTAAAAGTAGAATTATGTAATGAAAGTATTTTGACATGTATATTATATATTAGAATATTCTAACATAGTAAATAGATTAAAATATATAAATATATAATATTTAAAATATATATAATATATAAGTACATAATTTATATATTTAAAATATAAGTATATTATATACATACATATATGGCGAGAGAAAGAGTGAGAAAGAGAATGAGGGGGGAGAAAGAGAAAGTCTTTTCTGTCTTTAAATACATTTCATTAGGATAGTAGTCAAATTAATGCGACTTTAAATTACTTGAAATTATCCCTTTCCATGTGTTGCTGCTAATTCAAAGAGAGTTAGTTTTGTATATATTTTTTAAATTAAAGATTACTTGTTTAATCTAATTTAACTTTTGGAATTATGTTAACCTATTAATAAGTTCTGTAGGAAAACTTACAAGAGTTGCCTCTCAGAGCTTCTGCTTCTATTCATGTCATGTCCCTTATATTCTATTTCATTCTTCCTTACATAGAATAACATTTTATTGTTGTTGTTACATTTCCTTCCAATTTTATAAATGGAAAGCCATTTTTTCTATATAGTGTTCCCTTTCAGACACATTATAATGTATCAACACAGTAAAAAATATATGGAAGTACTGAGAAATACTGTTCATTGCTCTAATTAGCTATTCTGAAATATAATACTGATACAACCTTTGCAATAGTGTCTTGAACTAGAAAGCTAACCACCTCTAGTAGATGCATTTGTTTTGAGCATTCAAGATATAAGTCTAATATAATAATTTATAGAAAAATAATGTAATATTATGTGATCCCATGATTCACAAAATCACACATAATGTGAGAAGGAGAGAATTAGCATAATTATTTTATTTGGGTTTTAAAAGAAAAAGACAAAGCATGAGGTAGATAAAGTGCTCATGAGCACAAGTCAGCTGCATATCAAAGCAAGCTGATCATATTTAATCTGATTTTCTATTTTGTGTTCAGTGTTTGGGGAAAATGAAATATTAGAGGGTCTGGGGAGCTAACAAGTATACTGATGATTCTGAGATCATACTTTTCCATTATTTTTATTAATTATTGTGGAACGATTGTCTTCTGGATATAATGGTGTGGTTTTTATATCTTCTCTTACCTATTAATGTAGTATATTCACATTGCTCAGGGACACCTCTCTTTGTCTCTATTTCCAGGTGCGGCTGATTGATTAGATTACATTGAATTTCTATGCATGTCCAATTTAAATATGATTTTCCCATATTTATAATATAAATATGGGAAAATCATATAAATCTATATAAATAATAGAGATCCATTCTTCTGTCTTAATTTGGGCATGTGAGTGAGAATAGCTTTTTTTCATCTCAACAAAAAAGTCCAGGGCTGCTTTCCAATTCTAATGCTATAATACAGGTAACAGCATTCTTATTTAAGTATACTTATTTATTTCCCAGGGATTAGTGTGGAGAAAAATCGATTGATTAAATTTTAGAGTAAAAGCAAGGTTTTGGAATTATAAAACAAGTAGTAATAATAATGAAAAATAGAGGAACAGAAAGTGGCAAGGTAAAAAAAAAAAAAACTGTAAGGTAAAATTGCCATTAACTCTTTTGCCAATTATATCAAAGTATACTTTGATCAAATATAAGGAGAAAATTCATGCTGAAGATTAAATTTTTATCACAAACTAAGATTATCTTTATTATGTGTCCTCCTGATTATCCAGCCATTAATGTATTACTCCGTTTGATTTGTAAAAATCCAATTCAAAAGTAACCCTATTAATGTATTTTAAGATCTTAGCCAGTTTTGCTAAGGCTTTCAGTTCCCTAATAGAGCTTGTTACTCATCAAGTGCACTAAATTATACCTTCATGTAGCAATTTAAGTCTAGATTCCCAAAGGTCTGTTTCTGACAATAACATTCACGTTAATTAGAGCTTGTTTAGTAGTTGCAAGCTGTTGGGCAGTTAACCAAACTAGAAAAGACAAGGGTACTTAAAGCAGAGCAGAAATGTAAGTTGTCCTGACTGATCCTATTACCTGTGAAGAACATGTTATCCAAACTAGCACATAAAGTAATCAGACGCAAGGGTGTAACATAATGAAGTACATATTCTGATTTGAGGAAAGTACAAAAATTTATATTGAGAAAATATGCCTAAAAATGTATCAACAGATATGTGATGTTCAAGATGAGAAAGAGACTGAGAGAGAAACAGAGAGATATATATATATAGAGAGAAAAAGAGACTGTCTGATTCCTGTATTGGTATAGAAGACCCAGGATTGTTCTTACTATGGCAATAAATGTTAGTCACCAGCCAGTGTGTGACACCTGGTCATCTAACAAGATAAATAAATGTAGGTATACTCATTGTTCCTACCATCATATCAAATAATTTTATTATTTTCATATTACAGTTATATGAAAGATGGATATATTGTTTGGACATTTGCAATGTTTATTTAACAAAAACATATAAAAAACATAAAACATGATAGAAAAATAAGTTGACTTACCATAATATTGTTTTATCACATGTTGCTCAGTTTACGAAAGTCCAGTCTCATCAAGACAGAATAATTACTTTTAAAAAACGGAAGCAAATCCAGTCAAAAACTCTAAAATAGGCTTGAATTTTGAATGCTTAAGGGTTCAGTTTCTTGTTTTGTTTTGTTTTTTCTTTTGATTGTGCCTGTCTTCAACAAAATTAAACAACATTTTTAATAGACTTTAGATAATATTTATACTATTCATTCATTCATTCATTCATTTATATGGTAACATTCTTTATAAAAAAAAGTATTTCTTAAGTAACATCCAAAATAAAACCATATAGGCAGAAATTACACGTATGGATGGGGACATGTTTTCATTCAAAAAAAGCAATCTTGAGAAAAAGTGTCTACAAATTCTGACTAGCTGTATAACCTAGGATAATTTGTGTGTATTGTATATGATTTACTGTGCTTATTTATGAAATAAAGACAATATTAACCCCTTTCTTATAGATTCATTTTAAGAAACAAAAGAAATAATTCATGTGAAGCCCTTAGCATTGTGTGTGAAAAATACTAAATATTTTTAAAAAGCAGTAGCTGTTACTGTGTTGCAGAATAGTGAGCTACTTCTCGTCGTGAGATAATTAAAGTCAATAGGACATAATTATTCATGGACCTGTCAAATGGGACAGTGATAGTCTTCAATTCTTTATTTTTATATTTGCAGAAAATTGTTGTTCCATCCTCTTAAATTTCACACCTACTCTTTTTTTCTGAGGCTTTCAAATAGTTCATAGTGGTCACAAGAGCTTAGATGAACCTCCAGGTATGAATGGAGAAAAATTTGCTTACTGAGAATATAGAAAATAGAGTTCTCTTCAATCCCCTTTCCTGATTTAATTTTTACCCTCTTTTCCTCCCCTTTGTCTCCATATTTTGTCATTGGAGGTAGTACAGTTGTTTCTTGTTTATTTCAGTATGCCTCATTAGTACAGTATCTCAGTTTCATCTCCCAGAGTCAATGTGAGTTCAAACGAAATGTTATCTTTTCAGGATTCCTGGAAAATTAATAATATTACCACACACTGCTGGACAATATTTTTCCCTGAACTTTGTATGTGACCACTGGCACTCATTTCTGCCTTTGGTATTGGTCTCATCTTTTCTAGATTTGACTGAGTTGCTCAAGGTATGAATCCTTTCTTATAGACTAAATATAAGAAATTCAATATCTATAATTTATAGATATTTACCAGCTTAAATGAAAAACAAACAGAATCCTTCCTATATGTTTTGAGAAAAATAACTGTTACCTTCTTAGGCAGGCATATACTCAAAAGAAAAAAGTGAACCTCTGCACAGGATGTTTCAGAGAATATCTGAAAATTAGAAATATAAGAAGAGTGAGTAGCCCAGATGAGTTACCAAGTTACCTATTGCTCAGAATGCATTGCAGACTCTTAGAAAAAAAAAATGTGGATTTGCAGCAAGTATTTGCCAAACTATTCTCACTTATTGAGAGATTGAGTACTCTCTATATTAATGTGTCCAAGTTTTGTAAACGCATGAGTAGAACTTCAAAGTAGAGAAATAAAGGCTTTTTTCTATGACTTTTAATTTTCCTTAGAAACTTGGAAAACCTGGAGCAATTTCAAAAGTAAACTTGCTTACTAAGCTGTTTTTGATGACTTCTCACAAATCATGGTTATAACAAAAGCATTGGTGCAGATAATTTTCAGAAGAAAAATAGGAAAACCATAGTTAGCAGATGTCCTATCCTGGGACTTCTTGGCTTCCATAATAGCATGAGCCAATTCCTATAATAAGTCTTCCCTCATATCTCTGTGTGTATATATATATTTGTTTATATATATGTGTATGTCCACAATAAAATATATATCTTATTGTTTATACACATATATGCATATATAAATAACATATATTTATGTATTTGTTTATACATGTATATATGTATACATACATATGTTTATGTATATTTATATATATGTGTATTTACACAATTATATATATATATATATATATGTATATATATCTTATTGTTTCTGTTTCTCTGGAGAACCCTGATTAATAAAAAGGCAAAGTGGATATATTTGTATAAACAAATCAATAACAAAACTGCATAATCAAAAATATTAGTTAAGAAATTGAGTAAATAAGCAATGTATTAAGCTATTTCCTTTTTGCCTTATATATCAATCTTAAAGAAATTTGAAGTTCTCACAATTAGAATAAACTTATTTGCTCAGATTGGTCCAAGTTTTAAGGTCTGAGATGCACAAAAACGTTTTGATTATGTGGAATATCCCAGAAGCTTGATTATTATCTCATAGGATCCAGCTAAGACATAATTTCCCTTGGAATGTGCAGGAAGACTGAGCAACTAAGACCTGCTGAATTAACCCTTTTCTGGCAACACTGTCAAATTACATTATTTTTGTATGCCTCTGTTTTTCATTTATAAAAATGGGAGCATTTACTGTAGTATATGCCTGGAACTGTGATTAAATAATAAACTCTTCAAGTGAAACAATTTGTATAGTTACCTGCCACATTAAAAATATCAATGGCTATTTGATCATAACTATTATTATTGTTAATGTTATTGTTATTCTTACCAATCTTTTTATTAAATGTAAAATAAAATCATTAAAATCCCTAATGGATCCTCTTACATTCAAAATTATTTGTAAGAAAATAGAACAATAAGAAATCATGAGTCAGGAAATTGCACATAAGAAAATTGTGCTTGTATATCGGAACAAGTCTTGCTTAAAACTGTGATATGCACATTGTTGTGAATATTCTTCAATCTAATGTGTAAAATTAAATTCAAAATATTTAGACATTAAAATATGCAAGCATTAGCATGTTTCATGCAAACAATCTTAAAATGTGTTTGCATTTAATCTTTTGTCTGAATCTGATTCTAGAATGTTAGTAACTATATCTAATATTTTTAAATTAATTTATTAGTTCCAGCTTAGTATTAGATGCTACCAGGATTTCTTTACTGAGAAAGATTTTAGAACTACTGACCATCAGATAATTCAAATGGTTTAACATTTAAGAATACATGCAATCAAACACAATGATTCTAGCACAAGTATCATGTGTGGACCCTAAGAAGGTAAAAGAAAATTGAAAAATGGGCTTAGGTGGCAGGAACAAAAAACAAGGGTGGAGAGGAGTGAACGTTTCAAGGAAATAGGGTCAACTGCAAATGGCTCATTAGTACCCAGGCATCCTGTGACAAGCACACATCTTACAGCCCTCCTGCTCTCACTCATCCTGTCTGCAAGCATTCAGTCCAAGCGGCACGACCTTATAAAATTCCCCTCCAGCCCCTGCCTCTCTGCAAACAGCCTTCTGCCTTTGCTGTATTGCCCATTGCTACCTTGCAACATATCTCCCCCTTTTTACTAATAAATCTGCCTTTCTTTCCCTACAACTGTCCAGGTAAATTACTTTATTGTCCATGACACCGGCCTAAGGAAGTGATTGAGCATGACACATAGCCTAAAAATCTTTTAGAATCTTGACTTTCAAAAGATAGCAAATTTTCCTTGGTGTTATCTAAACTGACCTTATAACGTCCATTTGTATACATAGGGGTGTCAAAAAAGTATCAAGCCAAATGTCTTATTTTTGACTTTTTGTGATACACATAATCATATTAAAAATTAAGTAATTATACATTTGTTACAGAATCATTCACATTCACTTTGCACAGCAGTTTATTATCCAATGTACCTTTCACATCATTATAACTGACAGAAAGTATTAAGCATAGCAGTACTAGCTCTTTGGAACACATTATGCATTACCAATACATTATTTATAATCCCAGAGAAAGAAAAATGACCCTTCTAAAAGCATACAGACTTTATCCACACTTTAGCTATTGAGGTTGCTAAAGGAAGTCAACCAGAAGATAATATTCATGCTATTATAAACCTAAATTACAACTTGCCTTTCTAAATTTGAATAGTTGCAACTTTATGAAAACATGCTTTTTAAAATATAATTAATGTTACATTTTAAATATTAATTAACTAATTTAGGGAACAGTGGCCTGTAATAAAGAAATTAAGTGTTTGTATTTATGTATAGCTCTGAAGTTACCTCACTTTAAGATAGTTTAGATGTTTTAGCTGATCCGCAAACTAAGAAGATAATTGAATTTTTTATGTATATTTAATATTACATACAACATGTACATATATAACATGTAACATATAGTCATGTGTAATACTATTTTCTAAATCTAATCTACATATTAATGACTTTTTAAAAGTAGCATTCATAAAGTGAGTATCATATTTAACTGAAATAAATTTATATAAACAATACTCTTAAAATTCTACTGAACTGGCACTTTAAAAGAGAAAACTTCAGAAATAACATCATTTCCAGTACTGTTTCTGTACATAATATTATCAGTTATAAGATTAGGTTCTACAGTCATAGATGTGGTTTTAAAATCTGAACTTACCATTATCTATTTTATTGAACAAAAATTATTTGAACCTCCACCAAATGAACATCTATACATTCACCTTTGTTTCCACAACGTTGTTTCTCAAATAATAAATCAAATACACTACTGCACTGAAAAAAAATCAATAATCTCTTTTACTTTTTTTCATGTTTTGTTTAGTGTTTCTGACCGTTTCCGCTTTATCATGTAAGTAATTTCCATCAATTACTCTTGAGCCCAGAAAGGCTAGTGTTGCGTTTGGCTTAATGATTTGCATCGGTATATTATGGTTGCTAATGCATATGGGTTTTTTGAATTCACTTTGCAAATTTAAGTCTTAGAGTATCAAGCAACTCCTACGCCATATAATTCTGTCTGAAATTTTTCATTAAAAAAATCACATGTGGCATTCTAAAAGCACTTATTATTTCCTCTTCTTTCCCAAGTCTTAGAAACCAAGCCCAAGATACACTCTATGATATTGCGTCACTCATAACTGTAAAATTTGGTTAATTCCTTTCTTCTTGAGTTTTTCCAAATTTTGCTATGATCTTAAGCCTCCCAGTGAGTGAGATTCATTGTAATTTCTGAAATTGATCCTGTAAGCTAGTTTATTAGGAAAAATTTTTAGATAATATCTCTTTATAAAAGTGCAATTATTTTTCTTATCACTCATGCCTAATTAAATAAGAATCTTCTCAAATATTTTATTGTAGAATGCATAATTGATTTTTCCAAATATATTTTTGAACAAGAACAGATTTTTTTTAACCTACAAATAATGATAGTAACATAACAAGTAACTGAGTTAAAATATTTTTTCCTGAATTCCAATGGCTCAATCAGAAGGTTGTATCTTTAAAAACTGTTTAATTTTATGGAAGGATGTCCATATTAATGGATTGATAGAGAGAGAGGGTTGCATTGTTGCCCAGGCTGGAGTGGGCAACCCTCTCTAGTTAGATAGATGGATGGATAGATAGATAGATAGATGATAGATAGATAGATAGATAGAACAGGAGGTCAATAATTGAGAACTGTCTTTCATACATAAATATTTAATAGATGATCAAAGCTCATGAAATAACATAATTCAATTTTCTACCACAGTATACAACTCTTTATCACATAAAATGGCAACAATGAACACATTCATAACATGAGGAAAAGATTTGGCCACCTCATAGCATTGAAAAATAAGAAGCAAACTATATAAACTTAAAACTATTCATAGTAATCAGTATTTCATTTCTCAACTGTGTATAGCTTTTCTCTCATTCTTGAATCGAAATGATTAAATCAATCTGATTTGTTTAAAAGTTCACGGCGGAGCTTGCAGTGAACCGAGATCATGCCACTGCACTCCAGCCTGGGCGACAGAGCGAGACTCTGTCTCAAAAAAAAAAAAAAAGTTCACCTTAAATACATGAACTTAGATTTTCAAGATATTTCTCAGTTAGAAGTCTGTGAAAAAATGATTTTTTAGCACTCTTGAAATAATTAGAAGCTTGTTTTTTTATGTTCTTAAAATTCATGGGATGTTATATTCCACTTAGAAGAAAGTTTTTCAAATTTAAGATAGTTTATATTTAAATTTATTAGTAAAAGTATCCATAAATATTTCACTCTGGTAATATAAAAGGTGAAGGCGCCTCTGAATTGTGGTTATACAGACAGTTGGAGAACCTACAGTTTCAGTTGTAAACTTTAGCTAAGGTAACACACACACACACACACACACACACAAACCATATAGCTTTGGATATTAAAGAGCTGCTCTTCCCAGTGTGTACAGAATTTTTAATTGATTGAAGCTCACAATGACGAACTAAAACAAATCTCTACAAAGTCAGCTTATCTGTCATTTCTCAACCAAGCAAGGACAGAACTCTGACAGAAATTGCAAAATTCATAACACAAAATCAATTCCCATTCATTGCTTTCACCAATGAGGAATAACATTTCAGCTGTATGGAAATCAGAAATAAAAATATCACAAAATTAGTAGAAATAATTAACCACATAAGCAGCAAAGTTAACGTTCTATTGTTGCTTGTTTCAGTCTAGCAACCAAGAAAAGATATGATAGGTCTTAAATAGCCTAGTAGATATAAACTGGCAGCACAGTTTACTTAGCTTTATATGGTGCTTCCACAAGGACATCCTGATGGAACCTGAAAAATTGCTAAAGTATACTTTTCAGAATGTGAAATAATGATTCTTAGCCAAGTATAATGCAACCACATACAAAATATTTTATTTTATAGATAAATTAATGAGTAAAAGAGTAAGATATTAAATGTGTTCTAAATAGCATTATGGAAGTCGGGCATATATAGGCATTTCTAACAATAAAAGTTAAGATTTCTGGATTACATAAAAAATTTATTAATGTCCTAAAGGGCCAATAATCTTCATTGTTTGAGACAATCTATTCCCTGGGCAGAATTTATGTATACCTCCAGCTATCTAAAATCTCCAAGTTAACCTCGATTCCTACAATTACCAAGACAAAAAAAAAAGTTAAACTCAATATGTCATGAAGAAACATTCAGTAGTCTTTTTTGTTTATTTCAAAGATTTGAATAATTTTTTGACAAGGAATTTTCAAGGATCTAAACTCAACTCCACTTTAGCTAAAACATGTTCATCCCTTAAACTCAACTTACTGCAACTCTAAAATCTTAAATCCAACGTATCATTCAATGTGAACTCTACTAACTATAAACTTTATCTTTCCCTTATTTATATTACATCTAAACTCAGACACTTTAAAGAGACACCTTTGATTATAAATATAATATTTACAACTAGTTACCAATATGCCCCTGACTTTCTCCCATCCTATCCAGATCCATGGTTCAACACTGGAACTGCCTTTGTGTCTACACCTTCGAGTTCTTCAAATATTAAACATCTGCACATCCGTAAACTTTTTAAAATAATCTTTTATTGCTGCAAAAATTTCTATATAAAACACATCCACCCAAATAACAGTTGTTGATGCAGTCTTGTTGTCTGAGGTATTACATGGAGTTCTTTGTATCAAGACTGAGAAAATTAAGGAGCATGGACACCAAGGGTGAGGTTGGAGTGAAAGTTTAATAAGTAAAAGCGGAAGGCTCTCTGTAGCAGAGTGGGGGCCCAAAACAGGGTTGCCAGCTATGAGGCTGAGTCTGGGGTTTTTTATGGACTGGAAGGGGAGGAATGTGCTGACTGGTCTGTAGGCCATATTGGAGAAATTACCACTTAGAAAGAGCATGAAAGTGTAAAGAACCAGTTGGAGTTGGAGCTGAAGGCTTGGCTTGGGAACTTGGCCCAGGACCAATGAGGGGCTGAAGTGATGATTCACCCTATGTAAATGAAGACAGCCCGCAACCAATTACAGAAAGGTAGGCATATGTAAAATAGATAAAAAGTAAGAGACTAGGGTGTGCTAAGGAGACAGAAATGTATCCTAAAAAGGAGTGGAATTTGTTCATCTGGGTTCATAGAGTAAGCATTTCCATTTAAGGATGCGGGCTCTTTCTTATGTAGGGCCTGCAGTTTGATTTGCAGGCTGTTCTTGATTTGAAGGAGTTTCACCAACAACCCACCCTAACTGTCTGCCTGACTGACCAGTTTCTTACTTTCTCCTCTCTCATTATAACTCTTAGCTCTTTTTAGCCAGATCAAAACCTGCACTGCATGTGTTTGGTTGTTCTCTCAGCATATGGCTGTCCTGTGCTGTTAAAATATAATTATGTTCAGTTAGCACAACCCATAGATTCCCTGTTGTACCTTCCTGAGCTCTCTGGTCAAATCAGAGCACATATGTTCTTCTCCATGGAACTGGAATGAAAAGGTTAGATTCTAATCATATTTACTTCATTTTTTAAATGAAGTATTTAGTAGCTCCATCGCTAAAATATTTTAAATCCTATAAATCCAGATGAATCCAATCTTAAATATCTATGGGACCCCAATTTTTCAATGTTACAGTGAGTCATATAGCTATAAGAACACTGTTGAGTAAATTATAAATTGATAAACAAAAGGAAATATGACCACTTCTTCAGCCTGTAATCTACAGACCAAAACCTAATCACAAATATCCAAAAATTTTCCAGGAAACTTCAGTAGATAGAAAGTAATAGCTTCTAGAAACTGGGGGATGGGAAGATGGTAGAGTGATTGCTTATGGGAACAGAATTTCTCTTTGGGGTGATGAAAAATTTCTATATTAGGTAGTAGTAATGATTGTATAACTTTGAGAGTCTGCTAACAACTTTAAAAGAGTGACTTATGGTATGTAAATTATACCTTGATAAAATAAAATCAGTAGTCTCAGAATTTAAAATCTACAGTAATCTTGATTTGTATCACAATTGTCTTCTAGATAAAGTATAACCTTAATGGTATCTAGTAATAATAATACTAACAAAATAAAATATATAAAGGAAAATGAAAGATTTTTTGCTTTCAAGTTGTTAGGATACAGGTACATTTGTTCCAGCTGTTCATGGCCTGTAATCTATGAATGTACAATTAATTAGGAGAAGGTTTCTCTTTCATTAAGTTTAGTTAATGTCATGCTCTTCTGACTAATCAATTGCTGAGATCTAAATTTATTTAGCTTTATCCAATACTTACAATATGTTTGACTTCAGGAGACCAGAAAGGACACAATCATATATTAGGTGTTTAGTTAGTCTAATGTTTGTTCTTCTTCATTTGAATTTCCCCAGGTTATTAAATAGCAAGAACAAACTAATTCCCCTCTTTTCCCTTTTCCCCTGCTGAAGTAGTATCTGTTGTAAAGAGGAAAAAAATTCTAATAACTCAGGCCTTACTGAGAAACAGAATAGAGATTTTACAGAGGTTAGAGAAGCTTAAATTTTTGTCCAGGAATAGGAGGATATGTTAAATTGAACACCATTAGAATAAGCAGCTTTATTTATGTTACTAACAAGCCTATGTGTACAATAGTACAAACATTCGATGGCAGAATGATGGCTGTTTCCTAGAAAAATCTGCAACAAACACTATGGGTAAACCCAAATCCCAAACCATAGCTTCTTTAAAACCTCAGAATTTTACTATACATAAGCATATAAAACACTGTGCTTAGTGTTTTGGGGAGGTGTGATTATGATTCAATTATTATCAAAGTAAAAACTCCCTCAAGAAAGTGTGATTTTGGCCTAATTTCAGAAGTCGGCAAGCTTCCTACCCTCTAACAGGGCTATTTCTATAACTACATGAACATAACCACTGTGATAACTATAAGAAGTTGACATTTCAAGGACTTTCACAGGCACTGGGTACGGGAGATGAAAAGATAGAAGTTAAGTGATGAAGAATGAACAAAGTTCAAGAAATAGAAAGAAAAGTGTCAAATCACAATGTTAATATATCTGAATGTCTTTCCTTTTTTTCTATTTTTATCATTAAAAATAAAAGCAGAAAGCATCCTCAAGTCTAGTCAAGTGTGAGTTTAAGTGTCCTGTGCCCCCCGCAAAAAAGTCATCAGCTACTTTCAATTTGAATAATCAACCTTTCCAGATACTTCTTTCTTATTCCACATTCTGTTACATTTTAAAACTTAAAATATATGATTTTAATATTTAATTTTAAACAGTTTTCAATTTGCTAATTTAGACTTTATTATAATATTCCTTATTGGATAAAATATTTTGTTAGTGCGTATTGTGAAGTTATTTAATTTAAATTGCAATATAATTACAAATTACTTGAATTTATATCACATACATGAGTTCTATCTTATATTAAGAATAGAACTTATTAGACTTGTTACAGTGAATATATATGTACAAAAGAAGCAAGATTATTTATTCATAGTGCTATTTTGATTCTTTATATTTTGGAAATTCTACACTACATTTCAGGAATACGAAAGAATAGAAAGATAAAGAGAAATTATTGCCAATAATATTGCTAAACCAATCAGTATATTAACTTAATTGTGTCTTCAGTCATATCAGATAATTCAAATTTTTCTATATAATAAAATATTCAGAAAGGCAAAACATTGAAAGATCATATGTTCTACATCTTGTTACTAAATACTGTTGAACTGACCACATTCTAATAGCAAGCCAAGAAACAGATTTATCAGAGTTTGAGTATTTTAGCATTCTTATCTTTGAAAAAGAAGTCATGTGTCCTGGGTCAGCATTTTCAGTAAGACAGATGTAGTAAGACTATCCTCTCCCCTGGGTATAGTTATTCTTTGATGTTTCTTTAAGATACTAACGTGTGCTTAAGATCTGTCTTAGGCTGGACAAAATGAAATGTACATTGTAAGGAAAATCCTTAATTCTATTTTACTTGATGTAGTATGAGTGTGTGCACTTCTAAAACATTTCAACAAGGTTGGAATGGCTTTTTAAAACATGTTTAAAAATATATATACATAATTGACTAAACGAGCATTTCAAGCTACTCCATAAATGAAACACTGAAATAAGTTTCATAGTAATTACAGAACTATTTTAATACTCTACCTAATTCATTTTAAGTATGTTCTATTTTAGAGGATTTGCTTTCAGAAATTATCAGCAGAACTGTAAAAAAAATTCAACAGCAAGCTAAAGATTATGACATTATTAGCATGTTTAAACTAAATTGAGACTGCATGATTTCTGAGGATTTTTACGTTTTCAGAAGAATATGTTAATAAAATTTTGTTTTTACAGCAGCTGATAATTATTCTGTATTTTCTAAGTAAAGGGATTATTCAAAAGCAGAGCTTAGTCTACCATGATGAATGAAAAAACTATGAAGTGTATATTGGCTTTAGAAACATGTAGATCACTGAGGATGCTTTTAAGAGCTATTTCAGTGCAACAGATCTCAGACTTTGACCTATGCTCTATTTCCAGAGCTGTTGTCAGCATTTGCTTTTGGACTTTTGAAACTTTAATGCCTAAGTGTAAAAGCTTTCCCTAGATATCAGTTAGGGTGAACTGCAAACATTATTTTTTACGTATAGTAGAAAAAAAAACACATTTTTTGGTTTGAAAATATTATCTATTTTTAGGGAAAGTATTAATAAAATAATCCTTGTTTGTGTAAAGGTATCTGATAATTTTGCTCTCAAGCTAGTGTCTATATGCATATTACACAGGCTAGTGTGTGGGTATGTGTATGTGTGTGTGTGTGTATATGTACGTATACATTTATTGTTGCTTCCAATAAGTACTATTAAGTACAATCAGTCATTTGAAGTGGTTAATATTCTCACCTGAACAATACAGTTATTTAAAACTGATCATACTTAAGTCAGGTAAACTTTTGTTGTAAAAAAATCATAATATTAATTTCAAGCTGTTTCTAGTACATACATATTGAAATATCATATAGGTAAAGGGAAAATTATTTCTATCATCCTCAATCATGACTGAATTGCAATCCACTCAACTCATTGAATAAACATACATTTTTACAATGCTTAATATCTGTTGTTTTCATAATGCCAGTTACTTTTTATACATAATTTAGACAAAATACTTCTCTGAAAAGTTAGAAATGTTGAAGAAAACAAAAAATAAGAGTTTAGAACTGTGAATATGAAAATGCAGAAAGCATAAAAAGAATCAATTTTATTAAATGAAAAAATATTATTAATGACTATACATACAAATAAAGCTACACAGACACTAAGAGTCCTTCAGAGTTTCTTGTATTTACAAAATTTTTCCAACAATATTTACAGTCATCAGTGAAAGACTGGTTCTGCTACTTCTCAAAGTTGTTTTTTAGTGTTTAAATACACGATTCTAATTTCACCACTCTCTTATTAATGTCTGAAGATAGACTGTAGAAAGTGGGATATCAATTCTGTATCAAAGCATCATAAACAAAACAAAATTCAGTATATTCTAAGACCTTAGTATATTTGCAGAAGAAGATTTTATGTTAACTAAATACATCTTTTTTCCCACTAACCCATTCTACCTCTCAAGTATTAACAATTTTTTTCTACATTATAAGATGATAATCTGGATATGGTGGTTCACACCTGTGGTCCTAGCTGCTGAGGAAGGTGAGGCAGGAGAATCGCTTGAACCAAGGATTTGGAGGCTGCAGTGAATCATGATAACACCACTGCACACCAGCCTGGGTGACAGAGTGAGACTCTGACTCTTAAAAAAATAAATAAATTGATAGGCAATGTATTCAGTATCAACTTTTTTGAAAAAAATAAACGTTATTAAAAAATAAAAGATACTACATAGCAGGAGATTAACGAATGCAACACCATTGAAATTATTTACTGAATTACCAATGCTAGATATGTTGCTAGAAAGTCAACTGTCAGTCTACATATAGAACTCAAGGTCCTACTGCTAACTCTGTGTGCCATCCAGTTGACGCTATGCTCCCTTATGTTCTGTTTCACAGAATTCTAGTGGGTATGCCAATAGTCATTGTGTCACATGCTAAAAACTGTTTCGTAAATGCTGGATTAAACAAAGTAAATCAAATAGCCAAGACCTTTAATGTGTATTACAACTCTTTGGGATGGATATGAAGCAGGCAACATTAAATCAAAGCCTTACTGAAACTAGGCAGATAACAAAAGTAAGCATGCAGAGAAGGCCAGGAGGCTGGCACTAGAGGGTGTGACCTAATGTAGTAGAGCCATGATCAAACACAAATGCCAACAAATGTAGCCAGATCTTTCCAGAGAAGATACACATTTGGGCTATAATTTCAAATCTCCAGGTTTATTAATGTTGGCTTGAATTTAAAAGAAGAAAAATAATCAATGAAGTGTAAATAAAAAATATAGTTAGACCAGATAAGATTGGTACAATTTGAGAAACCTGGTATACATGTTTCTCAAATTTCCTTGCCCACAGACGTTTATTAAGAGGACCTACTAATTTCCTAGGACTCTGCAGAATGGCCTCAAAAATGTTGCCTTAGACAGCAAGCATCCTCCCTTGCTAGACCACTATGGTGTGCGTAATTCTGAACACAAAGCATGAATTATATGAGTGTATTCAAATTGAAATCAAAATTAATTCGAAAGGCTTGTTAAATGTTCGTGTAGAAATATACCTCTATCACTTGGAAATTTATGTGAAAATAAGCTGACCATGCTTCTGACCAAGCGTAAAGATATGCTTACTCTAAACTTTTGTTTAATTCCCATGGAAAAGCAAAAAATAATAATAATTGATTTGTAAGAAAGGAATAATATTAAAATTGATTGGACAGGAAAGAGACCATTTTTTAAAAAACTATTTTAAATATCAAAGTAGCTTGAGAACACTTTAAAATTTATAATTTTGGTCAAAATTATTGACACTCTCAAACAACAGGACTGTATTTGCAAAATAACTTTTCTAGGGCAAAGAGCCTTTTTCCTTACTCTCTTTCTTTTTTCTTCTAATTTCTGCCATGCCTCATTCTAAAAATTAGTTCAGAGAGCCTGCCAGTTGTCTACATATGTACCTAGCACAGACATAAAAGGCATAGCATAGATGTGTTGAGTCATATGGCAATTATTTTCTTCCCCTGGTGTCAACTTGGTCCATACTCATAACCCTGCAGACGAGATATGGCACCAGAAATTACACATGGCAAATGTGGTTTTCTAGTTTTTTTTTTTTCTAACTTCCAAGATATCTGTCCTCTTTCCAGGGAAAACACTTTATATTTATATTTCTAGAACCATGAGAAACCAGATCCACCTATAAAGATAAATTAGACTCACTTCCATTTTCCCAAAGGGGATATAAAATCCTGTGCACGCCTATGATTGGAGAATTCTAAAAAATTATAACTTTAAGTTACAGGATATGATGGTTAATTTTACGTGTCAACTTGACTGGGACAAGAGTTTCCCAAATTAGATATTACTTCTGGAGGTGTATGCGAAGGTGTTTCCGGATGAGATTATTATTTGTATTATTTGCACTGGTGAACTAAGTAAAGCAGATGCCTTTCCTATTTGTGGATGTGCTTTATCAAATTCACTGAGGACCTGAATAGAATCAAAGGCAGAGAAAAAGAAGAATTTATCCATTTTTTTCTACCTCACTGCTTGTACTGGGTCATCTCATCTCATCTTCTTCTGCCCTTGGACGGCAATTTACATTGGCATTCCTGGTTTTTAAGTTTTCAGACTTGGACTGAATTACGTCACAGGTTTTTTTTGGGTTTCCTGTTTGCAGATGGCAGATTGTAAGACCTCTCATCTTCCATAACTTTGTGAACCAATTACTCTTAATATTACTCATAATATATCTCTCTAATACACAAGATATAAAACAAGTAAAAAGGTAATCATGAAATCAGATTTGCTGATTTTACGAGCTATTCGTCTCTCTTTCACAGCGTTGGTCGTGAGTATAAGAGTTCATTTCCTGGCTCCTTATTGAATATTTTCTTTTTGGATACAATATTCATGGGATCTAAAGAGAATGTACAATTGTGTAATGTTCATGTTTGGGGGAGAGCTCTGCAATATTCAGAAAGATTGAGACAGTTTTGGAATAAAGTGTTAGGACTATATTACAACAAAGTTGGCTGTACAAGATTTGAGCTAGAGAGTCACTCTACCCAAATGTCACTGACAGGTTGGAATATCAGATAAAAGTGACACAGAAAATTGCCCTGGAGCTCAAAAGGGGTCCGACCTATTAATACATGATCCCTGAAGTAGTGGAAGTAATGCCCTAGAGTGCCATGGGATCTTAATCTATGAAGTAAAGCTTCTCCTCTAATGTAGGTATTGTCTTCTGCGGAGACATGCCCTTCAGCTGCACTTTGTAAAGCTCCAATTTAAGGACTAGTCAGTGAAACTATATTTAGTTGCTAGAGGTTGTCTGGTGTATACATACTTTTTGGTAGTCATGACAACCAAAAAAATGAGCAGCACCACAGCAGATTTACTGACTTCAACATAAAAGTTCTCAGTGGTGATCATCTACAAATGTTTTGAGTCAAGGACACTTGAGTTTGATTACTATTCCAAGGGACATTTGAAGACTGTCATAGTTCCATTTCCATCTGTTGGGTAAGAGTGCAGTAGGGAGATGGTGGGTTGTGTCCTTTTCTTTTCTACACTGTCTTCAGGTGGGTTTAGCTGGCTGTATTAACGAAGTAACTACTGGCTTGTGACTCTAAGGTACATTTGACCAGAGGTAGAGAGCCCAGGTGATGTTAGAACACTGGTATCCCAGCTGGTTTAATATCCAATTATAGGGTGCTTTTTATGTCATTCAATCACTGCTTGTGCTCAATGATGCAAAAATAGAGGCCACTGTCAGTTTTGACTGCATTCTCCATAGTCAAAAATACATTACCTTTCAAGAGGAACCCCCTCACCTTAAAGAACCAATGTTTGTGGAAGTTGACATACTATCCATTTGTCCATACAATTAAATCTTGGAACTGAAATACAAAACATGTTACTTGCTCCCAATATGTGGTCATGACAGTTTCATTAGCCACTGAGTAGAGACAGCATGGCATGGCAGGCTCACTCATCACTCCACTTTCTTGTAGATAAGAAGCTACAGCATCTGTCAAGAGCCGTATGTAGCTTGAGATGACTACCTGAAGATGTATCATGGTATCAGCTGGTTAGTTAAGAAGTCGTTTTCCAGCTTCGTATGTACAGCCTTTCCTTTCCACTTGTGGTCTGCTTGTAAAAGAATCAAGTTTTAAAAACTATTATACTTAACTCTTTATATTTAACAATTAAAATGATAGGCTCATGTAACTGTCAAGTTGGGTTCAAATCCTGGTGTCATCATATATCAGTTGTATGATTTCACAATATTTTTCATCTTGTGTAAACAATAGATAACAATGGCATTTTCCTGACAGTTATTCTGTAATCAGACATATAACTGTATCTAAAGCCCTGAAAAATATTTTTGGCATGTTATATTATTGAAGTATAAATTATAATATTAGATTTGCAACAACAACATCAATATGATGATGATGATGATGCCGATGTCATTGTCTGACTTGCACATTTAACCTACATCCTCTTTTTCCTAACATGCCATGTTATTTCTTACATTACAAAACATATCATTACTTATAATTTCTATCATGGTCTTATTATCATGAAACACTCTTGTAATGCTGCTGCTTCTTTTCTATTTAATTTTAATGAAACCTTAACTGTTTATATCTAGGAGCATTTTGAAATGAAATAAACTCATTTACACATATACCTAAATGTGCTGTCAAATAATATTGTTATCGTTACAATTTTATAGATGAAATAACAATAATTTGTTCTACAAAACTTTACTGAATCTCAAAATACAATATTTAGGTAAACACTAATATTTGACTAGGAAGTCATGAGTTACATATTTGGGGTTAAATTATTCTATTTTACGCTTTCTGATTCAGGAATAAAAATAAATTCATATATGTCAACATAATCTCTACCCCTAACATGTGATTGGAAGTGGTAAATAATCTATTTGAAAAAGGTAAAGTTGCACACATTGTAACATATTTTTATTATTCTGTTCTATAAGGGAAATTGCCATTTTTATTTATCTCTTATTTATATATTTTTAAAGTAAATATTAAGTGTAAGAATATTTTCATAAAGTTTCAGTTTTCTTGTATAAAATTATTTCAGCTACTAAAAATATGGAAAAAAGTGACAGCCCCAGAGCTCAACAAGAGAACATTTATAATGTTTCAATTTTATGTATTTGATATTCATATTAAATTTGCACATAAGACTTTCTAAATTGCATTAAAAATACATAAATATTATTTGAACATTAAAATAGCAAGAAAAGGGTAAGAAAAAAACTGGTGATGGAGAAGCTATCAATCAAGAGAACATTAGCAATTCCATCTTATATTCTGTAATAAAATTTGCTGTATAGAAGTGATTGCATCGAAATTATTGGAATATTTGAATGCAACTTCAAAACTATGAAAAATGAGGCTTTCATTGCTGTAAAATAAATTAGGAAGCAATATTTTGCTAGCAAAGGCTTTTCAGTAACACAGTTCATAACTATTCATGGTACCATTAACAGATGTCTTTGCTTGTTCTGTGAGCTGCCTTATGATGTTGTATTTGGCATTACTTTAAATTTAAAATGAACGTAGACAACTTGTTCTAAGTGATAATAAAAAGAACTCTGATATAGAGATCCTGTGGGAAATTATGCAATAATCTTACCAACATAACTAATTTTCTTTTTCAGAAATCGTGATTCCTACTACACTTAGAGAGTTATCAAAAGTATTGTTTAACATCATCATTTCCATATTAACGTTTCAGCAAGTTACACAAATACAAAATTTCATATAAGAAACACAACATTCTATTTGGAGAACAAGTTTTTACTTCTAAATTAAAAGTAATATAAAGTCAATGTTAAAGATGTTATATGTTGCTTGTTTACACCAAAAATACTTAATAGGATTGATTTCTCTAAAATACTGACATTCTAGTGGCCAGAATATTACAAGTGAGATAAATTATTAAAAAAAAAGAAATCGTAGTTAAATTGGCCTTTGCTAATCATCTATTAGAATCAAATTTCTAAGAACATTGAATAATTGCTATGTAAAATCTATAGTAGAGCACTCTTACATTTATTATGAATACATACACATACCTGTGTAGGGTGCCTATCAGAACCTGTGTATATGGTAGAAAAATTTCAATGACTTTTTAGGTTTAGGTAATTAATTTAAACCAAAACATTGACTCTTCATTGCGAAATTGGGATAAAAATAGCTACCTTATGTTGTAGTGAGAATTTAATTAGATAAGGACTAAAATTCTCTAGTTTAATTTCTCATATGTAACATGTTCTAAATGTTAGTGGATATATTCTATCAATTCTTTTGACACTGGTACTGGAGGCAGGGAGCTGGGTGGTAGATCTTCAAATAAGTAACACTAGAAACTTCCAAAAATATATAGGCTTATGAAAATGAAAACTGCAAAATGCCCACTTAAAATTCCCTTTTTCCTATGCTTACCTCAATGTCACTTTAAAAGCAATAGTTAATAATTATTTACAATGGACAGGTCCTAGGCAATATGTTATAAAAGAGATTGAAAAAAGAAAGAAAACACCTAAAGAATCATGTAAACTTTAGGCATGGAGAATGCAATTCCTGCTCTTTTCCATTGTTTTGCCTAAGAGAGTATTTTGTGTAAATTCAGAACACATTTACTAAACACTAACAGTAGTCTATAATTATTTATCTATGTAAAAATATTATACAATTGGACCATTTATCTCTCATAGATATTCCACATAATACTTCCCCAACTTGGAATTTGATTGTCTTATGTATTTCCTGACAAAGTTGAATTCAGTCTCTATGTATACAATAGGTCCCTTCTTTGTGTGCTTATGCAGACATATCAAAATAAGAGTATTTTTAAGAACAGTTAATCATATGATTTCGTATCTAAAAAACTCTAAAGACTTTATAAAAATTTTTTGATTTGATAAATGACTTAAGAAGAGATTCATGATACAAAATCGATGTACAAAAATCAGTAACATTTCTACACATTAATAATGACCAAGCTGAGAACAAAATCAAAAAGGCAATCCCATGTACAATAGCTGCAAAGAAAGAAATACATAGGAATATATTTAAACAATAATATGAAAGATTTATACAAGAAAAACTACAAAACACTGATGAAAAAAATTGTAGATGACACAATCAATAGAAAAAATCATATGCTCATGGATCAGAAGTATTAATATTGTTAAAATGACCATACTGTCCAAAGCAATCTACAGATTCAATGCAAACCCCAGCAAAAAACTAGTGTCATTTTTCACAGAATTAGGAAAACCAGTCCTAAAATCCATATGAAACCAAAAAAGAGCTCAAATAGCCAAAACATTCCTAAGCAACAAGAACAAAGCTGGAAGTGTTACATTACCTGACCTCAAATTATTCTACAAGGCTGTATTTACCAAAACAGCATAATACAGTTGTGAAATTAGTCACATATACCAAAGGAACATAATAGAAAACCCCAAAATAAAGCCATTTAACCATAGCCAAATGATATTTGACAAAGTTGAGAAAAACTTATACTGGGAAAAAGACACACTTTTTAATAAATGGTGCTGGAAAAATTGGATTGTCATATGCAGAAGAATGAAACTGGACCCCTACCTCTCACCACATATAAAAAAAATCAACTTAAGTTGGATTAAAGACTTAAATATAAGATCTGAAGCTATAAAAATACTAGAAGAAAAACCTCAGGAAAACACTTCTGGACATTGGTCCAGGCAAAGAATTAATGATTAAGAACTCAAAAGCATAGGCAACGACAACAACAACAAAAAAGAAAAACAGACAAATGGAACTTAATTAAACTAAAAAAGTTCTGCACAGGCAAAGGAAATAACCAACAGAATGAACAGATAACCTACAAAGTGGGAGAAAATATACAGGCAGACTTTGCATCTGGTACAGGACTTATGTCTTGTTCCATAACATACACGGAACCCAAACACCTCAAAAAAATGTAACATGTCTATTCATCCAAACAGCATGAATAGACATTTTTAAAAGGAGACATACAAATGGCCAAAAAACATATGAAAAAAATGGTCAAAATCACTAAACATCAGAGAAATTAAAATTAAAATTACGAGATATCTTGATGAGGATGTAGAGAAAATGAAATGCTTTTACACAGTTGGTGAGAATGTAAATTGGTACAATCACTTGGAAAACAGTATGAAGCCAGAAAATATAATTTTTATTAAAATAATATATCAAGACTACTGCTAAAATTTAAGAAAGAAAACGATAAAATTTTGCAATTATCAAAGTTAAATTAATATATTTTTATTTCTTTTTATCAAAGCATCCTTTGATACTAAAATTTTGACCAAAAATTGTGATATAATAATTCATAGAAGAGAAGAAGCTTTTGAATTTTTTTCACAAATCTGTTGCAACTTTAATTATGAAGTTTATGCTTTTCTTTTGTTCTCCACACACCTACTGTTATGTATGTAAAAGTTTAAGGAGAAACATATGGGCAATTATTATATAGACGTATATATTACTTAGATCTATAGCGTAAAGCTTGTAGTTTTCACCTCACCTCAAAATTATTAAAATATATACTTTTATGTCTAAACAAAGTAAAATAAAAAGATCATTGATTCTCAAGCTGGAAAGAAACTAAGATGTTTTATAACTGAACTCTCAAATTTTACATGTGAAGAATTTCAAGTAAGTAAAATAAATATTTCATCTTGCTCTGCTTTCTGGTGCACTTAGGGGTGAAATTAGACTTAGAATCTATACCATCTAGCTCAAACTCTAGAATGTTTACAGTGCATTTTATTCTTCAATAACGAAAGTTTTTTTTTTTTTTTTTTTTTTTTTTTTTTTTTTTTTTTTTTGAGACAGAGTCTCACTTTGTCGCCCAGGCTGGAGTGCAGTGCAGTGGCGCGATCTCGGCTCACTGCAAGCTCTGCCTCCCGGGTTCACGCCATTCTCCTGCTGTAGCCTCCCGAGTAGCTGGGACTACAGGCGCCCGCCACCATGCCTGGCTAATTTTTTGTATTTTTAGTAGAAAAGGGGTTTCTCCATGTTAGCCAAGACGGTCTTGATCTCCAGACCTGGTGATCCACCCGCCTCGGCCTCCCAAAGTGCTAGGATTACAGGCGTGAGCCACCGCGCCCAGCACGAAAGACTTTTTAC
The DNA here is from genome assembly GCF_000001405.40 of Homo sapiens. Taxonomy (NCBI): domain Eukaryota; kingdom Metazoa; phylum Chordata; class Mammalia; order Primates; family Hominidae; genus Homo; species Homo sapiens. The sequence continues at coordinate 116,852,965 of NC_000004.12, read as the reverse complement.
ACTTTAATAATAAAATTAAAGAAAATAATGCATATTTATAATTAGATTAAAATACAATTAACTGTGTACTTTCTTGTACTATGTTAAGTATCTAACACACCAAAATATAACATCTAACAGGTCAGTTTTCTTATATCAAATATTCACAAACTAATATTTCTTAATGATACAGTGATCTTATGATTCATATACCAATAAATTATTAAATTTCAAGGGCACCAAACTCAACTTAATTTGACATCCAGATATTAAATTATTTGAAATTTAAAAGTATAAATTTTATTTTCATTTTTTATATTATAAATGTTTCCTCATCAAAAGTAATCCACATGTATTCAACATGGCTAATTGTTCTGTAGAAAGAAATTAAAATATCTAATTAGTGCGGGCATTTATTTATCATCTAATTCTTGCTTATTTACATGATTGTATATGCTTTAAAATGTCACCGATGAATACATTTGTATACTATATACATTCAGCTATTTATTAATTTATTCAATAAATATTTGTGAATGTGCAGGGACTCTTCTATGCACTTAGAGTCTATCAGTAAAACAAAGTTAAAATGATTTCTGTATTACACATTCTAGTTGGAAAGAAGATAATGACAATATAATAAATAATGTAGTATATTATAAATTTAAAGTCATGTTAATGTAACATATTAGAAAGTTATAAATAATGTAGAGAAAAAATATATGAGCATAAATAGTATCACGTGAGTCATGGGGAAGGTAAAATGCAATTTTCCACATTGATGGAAGGTGTAGGTATAATTGAGAAAGCGGTATTTGAGTAAAAATGTCAAGGAGGTGAAGAGGTTGGAGAAATAGATATATGGGGGAAGAAATTTGAGGTAGAGGCAAAAGACAAAACAAAAGTTGCAAGACAGGATATGCCTTGCATTTTTCAGAATCAGTAAGGAGTCTGGTACTGCTATAGAAGAGAGAGAGAGGGTAATAATGAGGTCAGAAAGAGATCAGAGTTAGGTAGCATTCAGCCATCTATACTTGTCTTTTGCTCAGAAAACCACTGGGCTTCCCTTGCAGCACTATTCACAGTAGAAAAGACATGGAATCAACCTTAATGTCCATCAATGATAGAATGGATGAAGCAAATGTGGTGCATATGCACCATAGACTACTATGCAGCCATAGAAAGGAGCGAGATTACGTCCTCTGCAGGGACATAGATGGAGCTGGAGGCAATTATCCTTAGCAAGCTAACACAGGGACAGAAAATCAAATACCAGATGTTCTTTATAAGCGGGATGTAAATTATGAGAACATATGGACACATAGAGGGGAACAACACAATCTGGGGCCTTTGAGAGGGTAGATGATAAAAGGAGGAAGAGGATCAGGAAAAATAACTAATGGGTACTAGGCTTAATACCTGGGTGATGAAATAATCTGTACAACAAACCCCCATGACACAAGATTACCTATGTAACAACCTGCAGTTTTACCCCTGAACTTAAAACACAAGTTAAAAAAAAAAAAAGAAAAAGAAAAAGAAAACCACTGGGGAATTTGAAGCTAAGTAATTGAATGATTTGCATTTTAGAAGAATAATTCTGGGGGTGGTATAAAGAATAGAGTAGAATCAGGGCACCAGTTAAAAGGTTACTACAATAAATTCCTATGACTTAAACTGAGGTGTTGAAGTAGAGATTATTTAATTGTAAGCCATGAGGAGTATTCAGATACATGTGTCAAGAGAAAGAGAGAAGAATGATTCCAAGTTTTAAAGCTGAGCAACTGGAATGGTGGGGTTATCATTAGTTACGCAGGGAAAAATTACAGGTGGAGTTTGAGGTCAGGATTGTGTGACATAAATTTCTGTTGAAGATATGTTAATTTTGATATTTTAATTGTACCTCCATGAACCTATGCTAGCCATTTGCTATCATTTAAAAAAAAAAAAAACAGAAGTGAGGAGATAAGCCATATCTTGGAGATATAAGTTTGAGGAAATCGTCAAGGGAGAAAGTAAAGAAAGGAACAAAGAGGAATGAATCCTGGAATTATATATATAACAAGTATAACAATTCTGAGAGTGTAGAATCTGAATAGGCAAGACAAAAGGAGAAGAAATGTGGTGAGCTGGAAGTAGGGGGGGAAGAGGATGTAATAAGAACGGGGATGATCCATATGTTATATATTGGTCTTTGATGAGCTTGACAGGAGCAATTTTGGTGAAACCATGTAGTTAAAGCTTGTTTAGACAAAGGATCAAAGAGCATGGGAAAATGTACATGGAAGACATCATATGAAGCCAAGTCTTTCAAGAACTTTTTATGAAGACATGAGCAGAGAAGTTGTGGTGTTATCTGAAAGAAGAAAAGTTAATCAGGGTAAAGATGTTATTAAAGTGGTAGGGTGAAGACAGAACAAGATTGTAGAATAAAACCTTCTAGTGAAAATTCCCTCAGGAACATCAATTCAAACAACTATTTATGCAAGAAAACACCATCTCAAAAACTAAAGAAACCAAGTAAGAGATCACAGGATATGGTTTAAGCATAATAACAAGAAAATACACAATAAAGAGAGTAGAAAAGACAGTCTTGCATTGCCTACACCACCCCTACCCCAGCACCAGGCTGTGCAGCAAGAGAGATAATCTGTCTTCTTGGAGAAGGGAGAGGAAAAAGAGTGCAGACACTTATCTGAAGCTCAGCACCAGCCTCACTACAGTAAAACACAGCACGGGGCACTATCCCATGACATTGATTTCAGGCTGACGCTGGAGGACAGATTCTAGACCCACTCCAAGATGGAAGAGAATCTGCTGCTTCGGCAGGATACACTGGAGTCCCAGCCTGCTTCACCACCAGCTGACTAAAGCAACCATGGGCCCTAAATAAATATCAGTAACAGTAAGGCCATAGTGGCTGCAGGTTTTGTATAAGCCCTAGGGATGATACAGCATGGGATCAGCTATAGTGGCCTCAGGATTGTCTGTTATCCCTCCCTTAACTCCAGATACTGCAGCACAGAGAGAGACTCTTACTGAGGGAAAAAAGTGAAAAATGAGAGAAGGACTTTGTCTGGGAACCTGTGAAACTCTCCTTGGTCTCCCCCAGAACCATTAGGGCTGGGAAATTCAGAATCTGCAATAATGGCACAGTGAACCTGGGCTTAGGGCACACTCTAGTGCTGAAATGGTTGCAGTGACTAGAGGCTTTGGGAACTGAATAGTCAGTTGCCTTTGAATTTTTGGAAGGTCATCTGAAGAAGGATATGTACAAACAAGGCCAGACTGTAAAGCCTGGACCAAATAACTAATTCTTTAACAACCAGACACTGATGTATGTTCAGAAACATTAAGACCATTCAGGGAAATTTGATCTCACCAAAATGACTAAATAGGGGACCAATGACAAACCCTGGAGAGAGAGATATTTCTGATGTCTGAAACAGAGAATTCATAATAGCTCTTTTTAGGAATCTTAACAAACTTCAAGAAAACGTAAAGAAGCCATTCAAAAATTCATCACAAGAATTTAACAGAGATTGAAATAATAAAGCCAAAATTGACAAATGGGATCTAACTAAACTAAAGAGCTTCTGCACAGTAAAAGAAAGTACCATCAGAGTGAACAGGCAACCTACAGAATGGGAGACAATTTTTGCAATCTACTCATCTGACAAAGGTCTAATATCCAGAATCTACAAAGAGCTCAAACAAATTTACAAGAAAAAAACAAACAACCCCATCAAAAAGTGAGCAAAGGATATGAACAGACACTTCTCAAAAGAAGACATTTATGCAGCCAACAGACACATGAAAGAAGCTCATCATCACTGGCCATCAGAAAAATGCAAATCAAAACCACAATGAGATACCATCTCACACCAGTTAGAATGGCAATCATTAAAAAGTCAGGAAACAAGAGGTGCTGGAGAGGATGTGGAGAAATAGGAACATTTTAACACTGTTGGTGGGACTATAAACTAGTTCAACCATTGTGGAAGACAGTGTGGCTATTCCTCAAGGATCTAGAACTAGAAATACCATTTGACCCAGCCATCCCATTACTGGGTATTATAAACCCAAAGGATTATAAATCAAGCTGCTATAAAGACACATGCACACGTATGTTTATTGTGGCACTATTCACAATAGCAAAGACTTGGAACCAACCCAAATGTCCATCAACGATAAATTGGATTAAGAAAATGTGGCACGTATACACCATGGAATACTATGCAGCCCTAAAAATGATGGGTTCATGTCCTTTGTAGGGACATGGATGAAGCTGGAAACCATCATTCTCAGCAAACGATTTCAAGGACAGAATACTAAACACCGCATGTTCTCACTCATAGGTGGGAATTGAACAATGAGAACACTTGGACACTGGAAGGGGAACATCACACACTGGTGCCTGTCGTGGGGTGGGGGTAGGGGGGAGAGACAGCATTAGGAGATATACCTAATGTAAATGACGAGTTAATGGGTGCAGCACACCAACAAGGCACATGTATACATATGTAACAAACCTGCATGTTGTGCACATGTACCCTAGAACTTAAAGTATAATCATAATAATTAAAAAATCAAACAGAAAGCCTGTAGCTGAAAAATACAGTGGATGAACTGTATGAATTGTGGATGAATTGTGATGTATAAACCACTCATGTCTTTAGGTAAAAAACTAAAAGACAAAATGGTTAAAAATGATAATAACTACAACAATTTGCTGCTCCAGTGGGATACACCCAAGAGAAGCCAAATAATAAGATATAAATTGAAACGTCAAAAAATCAAAATGCGTGTGAGAGGATGGAGTTAAAATGTAGTGGTTTTCAGTTTTGTTTACGTGCTTATTTTCTTTGTAATGAAAGTTGTTATCAGTTTAAAATACTTTGGTATAAATGTAAGCTTTTTTTCACTTTTATTTTAGATTCAGGGGTTAAATGAGTACATTTGTTACATGGAAATATGGCATAATGTTGAGGTTTGGAGAACAAATCCTGTCACCCAGTTAGTGAGCATAGTACCCGATAGGTAGTCTTTTAACCAAGCCCTCCCTCCTTCCACACTCTAGGAGTCTGCAGTGTCTATTGTACTCATATTTATATCCATGTGTGCTCAATGTTTAACTCCCACTTATAAGTGAGAACATATGGTATTTGGTTTTCTGTTCTTGCATTAATTTACTTAGGATTTTGGCCTCCAGCTCCATCTATGTTGCTGCAAAGAATATGATCTCATTCTTCTTTATAGCTGCATATGAATCTTAAAATTCATATGGAAAAGTAAAACAGAACAAAACAAAATAAACAAAGATAGCGAGAGCAATCTTAAGCAAAAAGAACAAAGCTAGAGACAGCACATTACCTAATTTTAAAATATACTACAAAGCTATAAAACAACATGTTATTTGGTGTAAAAACAGACACATAGACCAATAGGACAGAGTAGAGAACGCAGAAATACATCCATGCATTTACAGCTGACTAACTTTTGACAAAGGTGCCCAAAGCACATATTGGCAAGAGGACAGTTTCTTCAACAAATGGTGTTGGAAAAACTGGATATCCACATTGATAAAAATTAAACTAGACCCCTATTTCTTACCATATGTGAAAATCAAATAAAAATAAATTAAATGGTTAAATGTAAAGCCTGAAACTATGAAACCACCAGAAGAAAACCTAAGGGAAACACTCCATAAAAGTGGGATGTGCAAGTATATTTTGAATAAGACCTCAAAAACACAAGCATCAAAAACAAAAGTGGAAAAATTGAATTACATCAAATTAAGAAGCTTTGCATAACAAAAGCAAAAATTAACAGAGTGAAGACACAACCTATGGAATGGAAAAAAATATTTGCCTACTATACATCTGATAAGGCATTAATATCCAAATATATATAAAGAGTTCAAATAACCCAATAACAAGAACACAAATAATCAGATTTTAAAAATGAGCAAAGGACCTCGATAGACACTTCCCAAAATGAGACATACAAATGACCAACATGCATACGTAAAGATACTCCACATCACTAATTATCAGAGAAATGCAAATTAAATCCAAAATGAGATAGCACCCTTTACCTGTTAGAATGATTTTTCTCAAAAAGGCGAAAGATAGCTAATAGCAACCATGCAAAGAAAAGAGAAAACTTGCATACTGTTAGTGGGAATGCAAATTAATACAGCCATTATGGAAAATGGTATGGTGCTTCCTCAAAATACTGAAAATAGGACTGCCAAAAGATATAGCAATCCCACTACAGAGTATATATTTAAAGAAATTGAAATCAGTATGTCAAGGAGTTAACTAGATTTCCATGTTCATTACCGTGTTACTCATAGTAGCCAAGATATGTAATCAAATTAAGTATCTATCAACAAATAAATGGATAAAGGAAATGTATTATATATACATATTTGAATACTATTCAGCCTGAAAGAAGAAAAAAGGTCTGTCATTTATGACAATGTGGATGAACATGGGAGACACTGTGTTGAGTGACATGAGACAGGCACAGAAAGGCATATATCACATGGTCTCATTTATATGAGTAGTGTAAAAAAGTTGAACTCACACAAATAGAGAGTAGAATGGTGGTTACTAGGAGTTGGGGGAGAGGAAGGAGACTGATGACGTGTGGGCCAAAATATAAAAAATTTCAGTGCTATAGGAGGAATAAATTCAGGAGACATATTGTACAATATTGTGACTATAGTTAATAAAAACGTATTGTATTTTTGAAAATTGCTAAGAAAATAGATTTTAAGTGGTCTCACCACAAAAATAAGTATGTGAGAAAATGCATCTTGATTAGCTTGATTTTGCTATTTCACAGTGTATATATTTCAAAACAACATGTACACAATAAATACATATAATCTGTATTTGTTGATTACAATTTTAAAAATAAACTATACATTGTTATTACATCATACATTTTATTAATGGTCATATCACTGTATACATATTTACCAAATAAAAGCTTTAACTGAGAAACAGGAGTTTTTTGGCAAGTTTTAATATTGTTAATCGATAAATATATCCAGTAGCTATTCATTCAATAATACCAGTATTTTGGTGTGAATATTGTGATGCCTTCTAGTTGAATAGCTCATTTGTTATGTAGCCTTTTTAATTCAAATGATTAGGTGAAAAAGAAAAAAAGCACACAAAATAAAAAATATAAATAAAAATGAAAATTAGGTTGAAGATATAGGCTGCTCAGAGAGTTCTCACTTTCTCACTCAGTTGTGATATATGTTTAATTGTACTTTCTTAAGTTTTTCTGACTTAGTTTTTGATATTTTTCTAATGTGACTGGAATGTACGTTTAATTTTAGGTAGATGTTTGAAAGAATCCAAGCAACACATTTCTGTCTTGTTCAGGACACTGAGTTAATCTTATAATATTATAATAAATATATTTCCAAGCTGTTACTGGGGTTACCATTAATGTTAGACATACATTCTATTTCCCTCTTGGAGAGACAGCATACACAATAAATAAAATTGTTCATAATGTAACATATATAAGTTTCATAAACACAAAGTCTATTCAAGAGTAAGTTCAAATAAATGATGATATAATCAATCTTCTAATCAATCGTCTAAAAGTTTTATTTAAAAATTAATTATCCAATGATTAAAATGATTTATAAGGAAGTTATCCAGATATGTTGCAATCCTAGAATCACAACTGTCTACAGTAGGGACTGATGACATTTTATTATTAAATGCCAATTTTAACCAGCTTATTAGTCTTGATATTTTAATAAGGATTGGCTTTTTATAATGAATGTGGGACTCTTTAATCCCACACATAATTAGTTCATTCTGATATGTTCTACAGATTATCAAAAATCATAGAATATCTCCAAGAGCAACTTCTAAGAGATTTCCTTTTCCATTATTTTGGAAGTAACTAAAATAAACTTAATAAAGTTACTCATATCTCAAATGTTTTCTCTTCCAACTAATGTATATATGATTTTCCATATCCCAAATTCATTTAAAAAATTTATGTCTATATACACTTTAGTTTATAGGTATTCTAAGAGTTGGGAATTCTGATTTAAAAAAATTTTTCAAGACAGAAAGGAACAAACTGTAAAATTTTTCATCCTTTAAATCCTTCCATCCCTCTTCCATTCACTCATCTAAAAAAACTGAATAAAATGCATGGGATACAACATATGTATTATAGTTCACATGGAAGATTATTGCTGTAATCTTTTAATTAGTTAAAGACAAGGAAACGTGGTTAACATATTTGTCCTATCCGTATGGTTTATATATCAAGCTTTGCGTTTATGTTCCACATAAATTTCTACCATGAATCTTCCCTCACAGTATACAAAATGATATAGTAATCAATAGTATAAGCCATTAGACTTCCAACTGAGGTGTGAGTATCTCTAGGAATAACGCAAAGCTGTCAAAAAGTTAACTAAGCAGAGAATTTGGAGGAATTCAATTTCCAGGTATTCAACTTTCATATATATTGTATTCTGCCATGTTTCTAAAATATCAATTAACTTATCAGCAATTGAAAAATGGGGAAATTATGTTGAATGAAGTGAACATATGTTAGAATATGAACTATTTTCTATAGTAAAGAGAGCCAGATTATCATAAATTAAACTAAAAATCTTTAGCAGAAAAGGAGAAAGCTTGGCTACTGCCCAGAGAGAATCCTTATTTTCTTTCTTTTTTAAAAAAATAATAAAATGAATGCCTGTAACAGATTATCCTTAAAGGTGCACATCCCTAACCTTGGAATAGTTCTAGGCTCCTAGCTTGTTGATACTTCTTCTAGTGCTTAGAGGCGCAGCTACATCTGCATTATCTCAGGGTCCGCAAGCTAGTATTTCTACCTTATTTTTCATTTTGGAGGGCACATTTTTTTCTATCCCTGTAGGAAATCTATAGCCATAGTGAGCTTCCTACGTTGGCTAATGGAGTTACTTCTCAAACTTCTCAGTGTTTTTGTTATTGTTGCCCTTACTAATTTGTGTGTGTGTGTGTGTGTGTGTGTGTGTGTGTGTTATTTCTGAGTTGTACCAGGTTCAAGTGGATTGGCTCAACCTTATTTTTCCAATAAGCCCTGATTATTTTAAGATTTTTTAGAACTCAGAATTCACATAGAATACATATACTCTGTTATAGGATTATCAAAATTCTTCTGTTAATTGTTCTCAAACTGTTTTGCACCTAAGTGTCAAGGTGGCCCAGAAGATTGTATGCTTCCCTTTTTCCAAGTATCTTTCCCCAATCTCCTACCTTACCACTTAACAAGGGAAATGAACAACTCACATCTATCCTGAATTCTCTTTTGGTGTTTTTAACTGATATTAAAACACAGTTGAAACAAACTTGCAGTCAATCTGAAATACTGGTGTCAGTGATGGTACCATACGTCATAGAATAGCACATGACATGCAAGAAACTGTTGGTGCGCTGATCATGGCAATGACAGAGGATTTGTCTTATAGATAAAGGAAACTACTGGTTCTTCAAATAATCCCCAGTCAATAATTAATTTCTGCTATGATAGCCAGCAAATGTTCTCAGTGATAAAAATTTTTATTTAAATGCTTGCCTAGGAATTCAAGTAGAGAAGAATTTAACAATATTGAACAACTATGTTCAATTTTGTATTAGTTATGGTCCAGGCAGAAATCTGAAAAAATAATTTTAAAAGTAAGGATTATTCATTAGTAAAAGGAGATTGACTATGTAAAGGGACATTGAAAACACTAAGAAATGCAAGGATTACAAATGTAGGGGACACTAAGAAATGCAAGGATTACAAATGTAGGGGACAGCCACTAGCTGTAGCTCTGACAAACAGTACAATGGAGTGGAATAAATTTGGAAGAGGCCCCATCAAGTCTACGATTCAGAGTTCATTGGAGAAGGAGAGGCTTCAGTCACTGAATAACAGATAATTTTTGCACTAGGGTGCTAGGAGAATTCTCTGGAGCGAGGGCAACTTTGGGTCGCCTGCTGCTCTTGGCAAGGTACCTGGCCACCTGAGAGCTACAGAACTTGCTGGGAAACCGCGTGCTTGGTTGCTACAAGCATATTTTGTTGAGCAAGTACCGTCTAAGAACAACTTAGAAGACAGAAGAGGACTGTGACTATAATTGCTTTAAAAAATACTTGCAGATAGAAAAAGTGCAACCTAAATATACAAATACTAAACAAACATCCTGGTAGATCAGAGCATTGACTGCAGGAAAGAGGCTAAGAAGCACACATAGTTGTTTTATATAAAACACGTTTAGGGAAGATATTTTTCCTTTATAAAATGAAAGCATTTTGCTTAAATGAGTATTTTATTATTATAAAACTACAAAATATAAAACATAAAGTATATAAATTAGTGTTTTAAAATTATAATTCATTTTGACCTTTCGACTTCTAAATGGCCAGTACAGATACTATTTTATGGAATTTATTTAGAAATTTTATTATTCATTATTACTATATATAATACATATGGTCATATAATTTTATAGTTATGTACTTATATTTATAGATATAATTGTATATCTAAATGTGTATATATACCCAGATATACACATACTCTTATTTTATAGGCTCTGAAATGTTCTGTGGTAAAGACAACATTTAAACTCATTAATCTATATTTTATTTATATTATATTTTATTTATATATTTATATTACTTGTTTATATTTATTTATATTTTATTTTTGTATTTTATATTGCTTATATTATTTATATTTTTATTACATTACTTTTAATGGCAAAAACTGCAATTACTTTTGCACCAACCTAATAAATAATTATAAATCTAGTTGGGGAAACATTGTTGGGGGAGGAATAGTGCTACAAGAGGCAGTCTAGCTTATTTATGAAACATTATCTCCACTGTGGTATGTTTAGACAATATCTAAATGTGTAGTAAGTACATGCTACCTTATAGAATACTAGGTAAAACAATGTGGTCACTTGACAATTTAGTTTTCCTCAGCCTTTTTCAAAAATGCATTGTTAAATTAGAAATTTTATATGAAAAAATGTTCTAGGCTGCATGAAATAATTTTAGTTGTTTGGAAATTATACTATATTGTAATTTCTTCAATATCAAGTTTATTTTTGGACAATATTGTCCTAAGACCAATTACCTGGGCCAGAGTTATAAAACCTTATAATCACAATGCTTTTGTAATTATTTATGATATTTTTTCATTTCCACTTGAAGATTCTGTTTGTTATGATATTGGGAACATCACTACTGTCAGTTCCATTATTTAAAATTTTTCCTAACAGAGTGAAGAAGGCTGAATTTTCAAAGAATATCTCTAAATGGAATAATTCACCACGAATTGCATATATTACCCTTTGGTCTCAATTTCTAGCTGACAAAGGCTCATGAAGTTTTCTCTAAGAAGTTTTAGGTAAAAGGAGAGGTCTTACAGTCAAACAACTTGTATTATAAACCTAGTCTTACATCTAATAACTATTTGAATTAGGGAATTAATGTAAGCTCTTTGTTCTCATTTTTTCTCAGTTATAAAATGGAAAATCATTTTTCGAAAGGGAGTTAAATGGCATAAATCCTGGAGTCAACAAAAGTGAGCTATATTTAACTTTCTATGCCAATAAACACTCCTAATAACATTACATTACATGAATAAAAAAGACATAATTCATTAATTTAGCAAATAATTGTTGAATGTCTGTTATTCCAGACACTATGCAAATCATTACCATCCTGCACTTTATTCACAGTCAGGTGGGTCCCTGGTTAGATGCTATACTGTATGAGGTTCCATACCTGTGAATTAGAAATTTGAGAATCAGATGGAAAATGGTGTTGGGTGAACATTTGTGGACTGAAATTGTAAACCCTGAGCCAGAATAGATATCTATCTCCTGAGAATAAAATGTTAAACCTTTCAGGTGGAAAATTCCCAATGAATTCAACTTATTAACAAGCTTTTTTTTTTTGTCTACTCAATTAATAATGCCATATTAGCTACTCAGCATTTGTCTTTGTTGCTAAGTGGCTAGGTGTTGAGAAGTACAATTAACTTCACAAGTGGGAGTCCATTCTCCCAGCCTGTATCTAATCTCCATCTCTGCTACTGTGGCCACACCACTAACGTGCTTTTTGTGCCAGTTCTTGGGTTGGCCAATGGTAGAGGTTAAGAAAATCTATACTCCACCAGCAGAATATTAATAGAGGAAAATGTCTAGCAAGGGTAAAGGAAGTAAGCTGGAGGAATCTTCAGATGGCAATGCATATCTGCTAACTGTGAAAGGAGTGAATAAAGAAAGGAGGAGTGGAGAGTCAATGCTTATACTGAAGTGTAGCTTTAAGAAGATTGTGTCCATGCTAAAATGGAGCCCATGTGGTCTGCTGAAAAAGTGCCCCAAGGATATCAGGCCCTAGTTACCAGAGTCTAAGAATATAATTTTGTTTGGTAAAATATAAGATTAAATTAGGGATTTTAAGATAAAGGTATTATCTTGCATAATGAAATTAGTAAGTGTCCTCCTGAGAGAGAGGAGGGAGATTTCACACAGACAGAAAAAGGAGAAGACAAACACACAAGAGGAGAAAGCAAATGACCAATGAGGCTGAGATTGGAGTGATGCAGCCCCAAGTGTCAAGAAATGCTGCAGTCACCAGAAGCTAGAATAAGCGAGGGACGGATTATTTCCTAGAGCCTCTGGAGGAAGAACGGCTCTGATGACTTCTTGATATCAGCCCAGTGTGACTTATTTCAGACTTCTTCATCTAATATCGATTAGAACGAATTTCAATGGTTTTAAGCCACTCTCGTTTTGGTAATTGTTACAGCAGCCCTAGAAAACCAATGCAGTTCTCGAACCAAAGTTGTGTAGTAGAGGAAGTCAACATAATACAGGAATAGGTCAGGCATTGTCTGGAAGCCTCCTGGGGGAATTGTGGCTTTGGCACAAATGCAGTGGTGGATGAAGGATAGCGGCAGAGGCCATGAGTCACCTACCCTCCCCAGTGTCAGAGATAGAAGGACTAGATTCATAGCCACCAAAAAGAGGTAAACTTTTCATTTATCTTGCAGCTTATTATGTGTAGAACATCCCACTCATAAATGCAAAAAAAGCCAATTTTTTCCAAGTCAAATGTGACATTTGTGAAATTTGCCCATATGTCTGGCCAAGCAGCAAGTTCCAATCAAAGCGAAATAAAAATAGTGTACTTGACAACTTCTCTGAGCAAAAATAATATGAAAAAAACAAACATATTAAATATCTACTATGTAAAAATACAGAAAGGAAATTATATAACTAAAAAAGAAAAAAGAAAGCATGATAAAAGTCTGAAAATATTTAGAACCTTACAATTATTGATAAGAATATTTCATATAAAAATTACAGGTTGTATCTGAAGTGGAAACTAGAGGATAATTGACTTATCGTTGAAGAATGACCAGTAGACCATAATTTAAAGCATCAAATTTTAAAAAGTTAAGTTCACAGAAAGTTGAATAAAGAAAAAAAGATAAAAATAATGAAGAAGAATAGCATCTAATCTATAAATTTCTTCAAGCAGTATGGCCATTTTCATGAAACTACTGAACACTTCAAGAATTTGCGAGGCATCCTTGCACAGACCCCATGCTAATCTTCTCTGTACCATTCCAATTTTAGTATATGTGCTGCCAAAGTGAGTACAAACCCGTTTTTATAAAAGAAAAATTTCGCAACTTAGAATTGTAAGTAAAAATTAGCATTATAAGACTATATCATTAAAGAAAAGTATACAATGTTTCCAATGGGTGGTGAAGTTTTAAAGTGGTAATTGGATTTGTAATTTGTAAATGGAAAATTACAAAGGTAACCATATGAAATTATTTCCATAGTGGATATATTATAAATAAACCAACAAACTCTGTGTATTTTTTATAACTCTGGAGGCATGCTTGACATATATCTGTTTTATGAGTTTTGGTTCCAATGCAGGTATGCACTTACGCATTCTACTTACAATCTAATTTTATTACATTTTGTTTATTTAACCTTGAAAAAAATATCAGCTCTGGAGCAGTAACTTTCATTTATAAGTCTAGTTGAGTTTGGCTGCTAAAGGCCAAATGCTAATTTTTCCCAAGCATTATGAGTTGGCGTCAGAGACCTGTCATGAACAGTATGTGAGCAGATGACAGGGCAATTGTGACAAGCTTGTCAAATTAATCATTGGGAAGAAATGTTAGTACGCTCTGTTTAACACCATTTTATAATGTATAAAATTATTACATACCACATAATTTACATTGCTGCTTACACATCTTATTACATACTATTAATCATATAACACTGAACCAGCGCTGTTATTCTGTTTATGAACATGCTTACATAGTTTCTCTTGATAATTAATGAGAACATTTTCATTAGCTAAACTAAGGTTTTTCAATTAGACAAATAATATGTTTCAAGATAGCTTATAAGAAAGAAGTTTTATTACTCTTAGAGGCACAAAGGACAGAAATTCTTCACTGCCTGTACTCTTGGGCAGAGAAAGATTTTAGGGGCTGCCACAGAATGAATTATAATTACATAAATACATAATATAAGAATTATATATGCTGTTTTGACAAAGATAACAATACTAAAGTAATTTTTACAGGAATAGTTTTTATGATTCTTTTGCAATAAAGAAATATTTCAATTACTAAGGGTAGTTATAATAAAAAAATGCTTTAAAAGCTCTGAATAAATAGATCATAGTTATAACATGATTGAAATTTTTTTGTATAATTACTTTTATATAGGACTGAAAGTTTATAAACAATACTGTTTTTGAAGTAATTTTATCCAGCCAACAAATAGAGTCCTAATCTTAAAATGGAAGTAAGTAAAATTAACATATAATAAAATGTTTGCTATAGTATAAAATTATGGATAAATATCTGATACATGGCTAGATAACAGATGAAGTCCAATAAACCCTGCCTTCTTCCACAAAATTTATCTTTATGGCTAATCATTAAGAGTTTGCAAACCAGTCTGTGAAAATATGAATAATAACAATATTTTTTCTGTTCTGAAGAAATGACAATTTTTCCCATCATTTCTAATAATCTGTTTCACTCATTTCTAAAAGGTCTGTTGAGTGTGTGTTACATATAAATGTATATTTGTATATAATGTAGTTTAGGGGTTATCTAATGTAACTCACTCGATTGGATGGTACATTGCTTGAAAACAGCATCAGTTACAACTCTCCACTGAATTCTGAATAGATGTTTATATTAATTAAGATATGGCTTATTTATTTAAGGAATGCTAACATGTCACATATATTCATAGAATGTATACATTTAATTAATAAATATCACAGGTTCCTCTGTCATGTAGTGATATTTGAATCTAAGAGGACTATTAGGATTTGATGAAAAGAAGTAGACAAATATTCAGATCAACATGTCCTTCCAAAGGGAAGGCACATGAGATGAAAATAAGTCATGATGCCATGTTGCCAAGGAAATCAACTAAAAGCATAAAAAGCTGGAGGGCACTGTCAAAATAACCAGTTAGTCAAGTCAGGGCATTTGCCAGTTGCATTTGTATCTTATGCAACTAATTCAGAAAAAAAATGTTTGATCTTGAAGGCCCGTAGAGGCATAATCATAATAATGATCTATTAACCATTAATACTGAGATAATGTTTAAAATTCAAAATAATCTTTCTCAAGTCATAAAGGATTTACACCTGCCAGGCTACTTTCCTAAACCATTTTATACTCCTAACTGCATTATACAATTGCTCCAGTTTCTCTATCGTCTTGCCAGCATACAGTGTTTTCCCCTAGTCCTTATTTTAATCATTGTAAGTGTGTGTTCTCACGTGGTGGAAAGGATGAATGAGCTCTCTGGTGTCTCTTTTACAAGGGAATTACCCTGATTTAGGAGAACTTCATCTTCATGACCTAATCACCTCCTGAAGGGTCCCAACTCCTACTACCATCACCTTGAGGGTTAAGATTTTAACATACGAATTTTGGGTAGACAAAGGAATTCAGAAAACAGAGGTTCTTTATTGAATAGGTCTTCTGAAAATATTTTCTACCAGTCAGTGGCTTATCTTTTTATTCTTTTGACATTGCCTTTCATGGAGAAAAAGTTTTCAATTTTAATCAAGTTGAGCTTATCAAATCATGTGTTCATGGATTGTGCCTTTGGTGTTACACCCAAAAAATCATGAAACCCAAAGTCATGGAGATTTTTTCCTATGTTATATTCAAGACGTTTTAACATGTTGTGTTTACATTAAGTCTGTGCTCCATTTTGAGTTAATTTTGTAAATGGTTTAAGGTCTGTATGTGGGTTCATGTGTTTAATATGTGGACATCTAGTTGTTCTAGCACAAATTGTTAAAAAGACTATCCTATTGCAGTTGTATTGCTTTTGCTCCTTTGTCAAGAATCAACTTATGTGATTTTTTTCTGGGCTCTGTATTTTATTGTGCTGATATATTTGTTTATTCTTTTTGTCAATTGATTTCACACTGTCTTGATCACTGTAACTTTCTAGTGTCTTGAAGTCTGGTAGTGTTAATTCTCCAGCTTTACACATCTTAAATATTGTGTTGGCTATTCAGGGTATTTTGCTTCCCCATATAAAATTTGTTTTTTTAAATTTTTTATTTTAACTTATGTGGGTATAAAGTAGGTATATATACTTATGTGTTACATGAGAAATTTTGATACAGGCATGCAATGTGAAATAATCACATCAGGATATGGGGTATGCATCATCTCAAGCATTTATCCTTTGTTTCAAGCAATCCATGATACTGTTTTGGTTATTTTTGTATAAACAGTTAAATTATTTTTTACTATAGTTAACATGTTGTTCTAGCAAATAGTGGTCTTATTGATTATTTCCAATTACTTTTCGGACCCATTAATCAACCCTGCTTTCCCCTGCCCCCCACCTACCCATCCCAGCCACTGAAAACCATCCTTAGTTTTTTTTTTTTTTTAATTTATTTTAGCTTCCACAGATTAGTGAGAATATATGGTTGTCTTTCTGTGTCTGGCTTATTTCAATCAACACAATGACCACCAGTTCCATCCATGTTGTTACAAATGACAGGATCTCTTTTTTATGACTTAATAGTACTTCATTGTGTATATGCACCACATTTCTTTACCCAGTCATCTATTGATGGACGCTTCAGTTGTTTCCAACCTCCACCCTCTGAAAAGCCCCAGTGTGTGTTGTTGCCTTTATGTGTCTATGTGTTCTCATCATTTAGCTCTCACTTATAAGTGAGAACATGTGGTATTTGGTTTTCTGTTCCTGTGTTAGTTTGCTAAGGATAATGGCCATCAACTCTATCCATTTCCCTGCAAAGGACAGGATCTCATTTTTATATGGCTGCATAGTATTCCATGGTGTATAGGCAACACATTTTCTTTATCCAGTATATGATTGATTGACATTTAGGTTGATTCCATTTCATTGCTATTGTGAACAGTGCTGCAGTGAACATACACTTACACGTGTCTTTATAATAGAGTGATTTATGTTCCTTTGGGTATACACTCAGTAATGGAATTGCTGGGTCAAATGGAATTTCTGTCTTTAGGTCTTTGAAGAATTGCAACACTGTCTTCCACAATGGCTGAACTAATTTACAATCCAACCAACAGTTTATAAACGTTCCTTTTTCTCCACAACCTTGCCAGCATCTATCATTTTTTGAGTTTTTAATAGTAGCCATTCTGACTGGTGTTAGATGATATCTCATTGTGGTTTTAATTTGCATTTCTCTAATAATCAGTGACGTTGAGCATTTTTTCATATGACTATTGGCCACATGTATGTCTTCCTTTGAAAAGTGGCTATTCATGTCCTCTGCCCACGTTTTAATGGGCTCGTTTTTTTTTTCTTGTAAATTTGTTTAAGGTCCTTATAGATGCCAGATACTAGACCCTTCTCAAATACAATTTGCAAAAATTTTCTCCCATTCTGTAGGTTCAGTTTATTCGTTTATGTGGATAGATAGATAGATAGATAGATAGATAGTTTTTTTTTTGTTTTTTTTGTTGTTGTTGTTGTTTTTGTTTTTTTTTGGCTGTGCAGAAACTCTTTAGTTTAATTAGGTCCCATTTGTCAATTTTTGCTTTTATTGGAATTGCTTTTGGCATCTTTGTCATGAAATCTTTGCCTATTCCTGTGTACTAAATGGAATTGCCTAGGTTGCCTTCCAGGGTTTGTATAGTTTTGGGTTTTACATTTAAGTGTTTAATCCATCTTGAGTTATTTTTTGTATATGGCGTTAAGAAAGGGGTCCAGTTCTAGCCTTCTGCATTTTCAGTTTCAGTTTGCTGCATATGGCTAGCCAGTTATACCAGCACAATTTATTGAATGGTGAATCCTTTCCCATCAATTGTTTTTCTCATGTTCATTGAGGATAAGATAGTTATAGGTGTCTGGTATTATTTCTGGGTTCTCTATTCTGTTCCAGTGGACTATGTGTCTGTTCTTGTACCAGTACCATGCTCTTTTGGTAGTATAGTTTGAAGGCAGGTAGCATGAAAACTCCAGCTTTGTTCTTGTTGCTTATGATTGCTTTGGCTATTTGGGCTTTTTGTTGTTGTTGTTCTATAGGAATTTCAAAATAGCGTTTTCTAGTTCCGTAAAGAATGTCAATAGCATTAATCTATACAGTCCTTTGGGAAGTATAACCATTCCACAATATGGATTATTCCTAAGTAGGAGCATGGAATGTTCTTCCATTTGTTTGTGCCATCTCTGATTTCTTTGAGCAGTAGCTTATAGTTCTTGTAGAGATCATTTACCTCCTAGGTATTTTA
Organism: Homo sapiens; assembly: GCF_000001405.40. Taxonomy (NCBI): domain Eukaryota; kingdom Metazoa; phylum Chordata; class Mammalia; order Primates; family Hominidae; genus Homo; species Homo sapiens. The sequence continues at coordinate 116,834,128 of NC_000004.12, read as the reverse complement.
TTTTATTTTTGTTACAATTGTGAATGGGAGTTTATTTGTGATTTGGCTCTCAGCTTGACTATTGTTGCTTTATAGGAATGCTAGCAATTTTTTCATATTGATTTTGCATTCTGAGACTTTGCTGAGGTTGCTTATAAGCTTAAGAAACTTTTAGGCTGAGACAATGGGGTTTTCTTGCTATAGAATCATGTTATCTGCTAACAGGGATGTTTGATTTTGTATCTTCCTATTTGAATGCCCTTTATTTCTGTCTCTTGCCTGATTGCCCTGGCCAGAGCTTCCAATACAATTTGGAGTAGGAGTGGTGAGAGAGGGCATCCTTGTCTTGTGCTGTTTTTTAAGTGGAATGCGTCCAGCTTTTCCTCCTTTGGCATGATGTTGGCTGTGTTTTTTTAATATACAGCTCTTATTATTTTGAGGTATGTTCTTTCAATACCTAGTTTATTGAGAGTTTTTAACATGAAGGATATTGAATTTTATCAAAAGACTTCTCTGCATCTGTTGAGATAATTGTGTGTTTTTTGTTTAGTTCTAAGTGATGAGTCACATTTATTGATTTGTGTATGTTGAACCAACCATGCATTCCAGGGATGAATCCTACTTGATAATGGTGAATTAGGTTTTTGGTGTGCTGCTAGATACATTTTGCTAGTATTTCTTTCAGGATTTTTGCATCAATGTTCATCAAAAATATTGGCCTTAAGAGTGTGTGTGTGTGTGTGTGTGTGTGTGTGTGTGTGTGTGTGTTTCTTTAAACCTATTGTGTCTCTGCCAGGTTTTGATATCAGGATGATGCTGGCCTCATAAAATGAGTTAGGGAGGGTCCCTTCTTTTTAATTTTTGGAATAGTTTCAGCAGAAAAAGTATAAATTCTTTTTTTTTTTTGTATAGCTAATAGAATTCAGCTGTGAATCCATCTGGTCTTGAACTTATTTTGGTTGGTAGGCTATTTATTACTGCCTCAATTTCAGAATTTATTATCAATTTGTTCAAGGATTCAATTTTTTCCTGGTTCAGTATTGAGAGGGTATATGTGTTCAGAGATTTATTTATTTCTTCTATATTTTCTAGTTTATATGCATAGAGGTGTTTATAATATTCTCTGATGGTTGTAGTTCCGTGGGGTTAGTGGTAATATGCTCCGTATTGTTTCTGATTGTGTTTATTTAAATCTCTCTTTCTCTTTTTTGTTAGTCTAGCTAGCAGTCTATCTCCCACCCCCCACCCCCCCCAAAAAAAACCAGCTGCTGGTTCCGTGGATCTTTTAAACGGTGTGTGTGTGTGTGTGTGTGTGTGTGTGTGTGTGTGTGTGTGTCTATCACCTTCAGTTCAGCTCTGATTTTGATTATTTCTTGTCTTTTTATACCTTTGGGATTTGTTTGCTCTTGGTTCTCCAGTTCTTTTAGTTGTAATGTTAGATTGTTAACTTGAGATCTTTCTTTCTTTTGTCTTTTTCTTTTTTTTTTTTTGAGATGGAGTGTCACTCCTGTCGCACAGGCTGGAGTGCAGTGGTGATCTCAGCTCACTGCAACCTCTGTCATTCCTGTAATCCAAGCACTGTGGGAGGCTGAGGCAGGCAGATCACGAGGTCAGGGGTCAAGACCAGCCTGGCCAACATGGTGAAAACCCGTCTCTACTAAAAATACAAAAATTAGCTGGGTGTGGTGGCATGTGCCTGTAATCCCAGCTACTCAGGAGGCTGAGGCAGGAGAATCACTTGAACTCAGGTGGTGGAGAGGTGGAGGGGAGCCGAGATCGTGCCATTGCACTCAAGCTTGGGTGACAGAGTGAGACTCTGTCTCAAAAAAAAGAAAAGAAAAAAAACTTGAAATCTTTCTAACTTTTTGATGTGGGCAATTAGTGCTATAAATTTCTGTCTTAACAATGCCTTAGCTGTGTCCTAGAGATTCTGGTACAAGTGTATTTCTGTTCTCATTAGTTTCAAGGAACTTGATTTCTGCCTTAATTTCATTATTTTTCCAAAAGTCATTCAGAAGAATGTTATTCCATTTCCATGTAATTGTATGGTTTTGAGTGCATTTCTTAGTCTTTAGATCGAATTGGATTTTGCTGTGGTTCAAGAAGCTGTTATGATTTCAGTTATTTTGCATTTGTTTAGTAGTATTTTATTTTTGATTATGTGATTGATTTTAGAGTAAGTGTCATATGGCAATGAAAAGAATGTATATTCTGTTGTTTTGAGGTTGAGACTTCTGCAGATTTCTATCAGGTCCATTTGATCTAGTGCTGAGTTTAGGTCCTGAATATCTTGGTTAATTTTCTATCTCAATTATCTGTCTAACACTGGCAGTGGGATATTAAAGACTCCACTATTATTGTTAAAGGTCTATAAGAAACTGCTTTGTAAATCTGGTTGCTCCTGTATTGCATGCATATCTACTTAGGATGGTTAGATCTTCTTGTTGAATTGAATGCTTTACCATCAGGTGATGCCCTTTTTTTTTTTTTTTTTTTTTTTTTTTATCTTTGCTGGGATAACGTCTGTGTTGTCAGAAACTAGGATTCTAACCCCTGCTTTTTGGTAGTTTAAATTTGCTTGATATATTTTCCTTCATCCTTTTATTTTGAGACTTTTGTGTGCCATTGCACGTGAGATGGGTCTCTTGAGGACCACATACTGATGCATCTTGGTTCTTTATCCAGTTTTCCACTCTGTGTCTTTTCATTGGGCCATTTAGCCCATTTACATTTAATGTCAGTATCAGTATGTGTGGATTTGATCCTGCCTTCATTGTTTTAGCTGGTTATTGTGCAGACTTGTTTATGTGGTTGCTTTAGAGTGTCATTGGACTGTGTACTTCAGTGTGTTTTTGTAGTAGCTGGTAACAATTCTTTCTTTTCATATTTCATGCTTCCTTCTGGAGCTCTGGTAAGGTTGGTCCGGTGGTAATGAGTTCCCTCAGCATTTGCTTATCTGAAAATAATCTTATTTTTCCTTTGCATATGAAGCTTAATTTGGCCAGACATGAAACTCAGGTTGAAATTTCTTTTTTTTAAGAATGTAGAATATTGGCTTCCTATCTCTTTTCGATTGTAGGATATTCATTGAGAGGTCTGCAGTTAGTCTGTGGGCTTCCCTTTGTAGATGATCTGGCCTTTCTCTTTAGCTGCTCTTAACATCTTTTTGTTTTCATGTCTGCCTTGTAGAATCTGATGATTATGTGTCTTGGGGATGATGTTCTTGTGGAGTATCTTACCAGGGCTCTCTACATTTTCTGAATTTGAATGTTGGCCTGTCTAGCTAGGTTGGAGAAGTTACAGTGGATGATATTGTGAAACATGTTTTCCACATTAGTTCCATTATCCCCATCTCTTTCAGTTACTCCAATCAGTCATAGATTTGGTCTCTTTACATAATCCCATATTTCTCATAAGTTTTGTTAATTCAAGTTCATTCTTTCTTCTCTATTCTTGTCTGCTTGTCTTATTTCATACAGTCTTCAGGCTCTGAGATTGTTTCATCTATTTAGTCTGTTCTGCTGTTAATACTTGTCATTGCATTATAAAATTCTTTCAGTGTGTTTTTCAGCTCTGTCAGGTTGGTTACATTCTTCTTTACACTGGCTATTTTGTCTGTCAGTTCCTGCAATGTTTTATCATGATTTTTAGTTTCCTTGCATTGGGTTACAACATGCTCCTTTAGCTCAGTGGAGTTTTCTTTTATACATATTTTGAATTCTATGTCTTTTCAGCCACGTCAGCCTCAGCTCAGTTCTGAATTCTTGCTGGAGAGGTGATGTGGTCATGTGGAGGAAAGAGGGCACTCTGGCTTTTTGGGTTTTCAGCATTCTTGCACTGATCCTTTCTAATTTTTGTGGGCTTATCTACCTTAAATCTTGAGGTTGCTGACCTTTTTTTCTTTTTCTTTAATAGGACAATATTCTGTAGGGCTGCTGTGATTTTCTTGGGGTCCCCTCCAGTTCCTAGTCACCTTGAATTTTCCAGCACCTGGAGGTATCACCAGTAAAGGCGGCAAAGCAGCAAAGATAGCAGCCTGCCTCTTTCCTCTGGGAGCTTTGTCCCAGGCAGTTTCAGATCTGTTGTCGACCTGAACACACCTGGAAGAGGTGGCTGAAGACTCCAGATAGGAGGTCTCACCCATTCAGAAAGAAGAGGATTGGGGACCCACTTAAGGAAGCATTCTGGGCCAGGAGTGGTGGCTCACGCCTGTAATCCCAGAACTTTCGGAGGCCAAGGCGGGCGGATCACGAGGTCAGGAGATCAAGACCATCCTGGCTAACATGATGAAACCTTGTCTCCACTAAAAATACAAAAAAAAAAAAAAAAAAAAAAAAAAAAAAAAAAAAGAAAAGAAAATCAGCTGGGCGTGGTGGCGGGCGTCTGTAGTCCCAGCTACTCGGGAGGCTGAGGCAGGAGAATGGCGGGAACCCGAGAAGTGGAGCTTGCAGTGAGCCGAGATTGCGCCACTGCACTCCAGCCTGGGCAACAGAGGGAGACTCTGTCTCAAAAAAAAAAACAACAAGCATTCTGGCCACACTTTCGTAGAGCAGCTGTGCTGTGCTGGGATACTGCTTCTGCCTTCAGTTTGCTTGGGCACTCCAATGCATGGGGGCTGGAAGGGCTAAGTCACCCAAGCAGCAAAGATAGCAGCTCACCTCTCCCTCCAGGAACTCTGTCCCACGAAGTTTTCAAATCTCTATCAGCCAGGAAACACTGGTAGGGATGGGGACGCCCTGGTTGAGAGGTTCCACCCAGTGAGGAGGGACCAATCAGGGACCAACTTACAGAAGCAGTCTGGCCATGTTCTGGTAGAGCAGCTGGGATGGGCTGGGGGATCCCGGTCCCGTCTGCCTCCTGGTTGGTTTCTATGTATTATTTTAACAGGTATGCCATTAAAATAGCTACTTTTAATCAATATGTTTCTGGCAGGCAACATATGATTGGGTCTTTTTTCGTGATCCACTTTGACAGTCTCTGTCTTTTAATTGGTGCAACAACCACTGATGTTCAAAAGAATTACGGATATGTCGGTGTCAATATGTATTGTATTAAGTGGCATTTTCTAATTGTTGCTCTGATTTTTTGTTTCTGTATTGTCTCCCACTCTTGTTCTTCCTTTTGTAGCTTTAATTGAGCATTATTAGGATTCCATGTTTTCTCCTTTATCAGCATTTCATTACTTAAAAAATTTTTAGTGGATGCCATAGTTTGTAATATACATTTATGACAAATCCAAATTATTTTCAAACAGCACTATAACAGCTCCTAGCTAGTGCTAGTTCTCCTAGCGCCAAAATAATCCTAATTCCTCTTATCCATCTCTTGTATCATTCCTGTAATTCATTTTCATTATATATAACCATACATAAGCAGAGAAATAGACAAAATAATACATAATCAGACACATTGTTTTTCACTGTGGTCTTTCACTGGCATTTCCTAATGAGTACTGACAGAGAACATCTTTCCAAGGAAAACTTGCCATCTGTATATCTTCTTCCCTGAAATGCTTGTTCATGTCTTTGGTCTATTGTATGATTGGAATGTTTGTTTGTTTTTTCCCAAATTTAGTTTTGAGAGTTCTTCACATATTTTCACTACTTGTCTTTTGTCCAAAATATGTGTTGGAAATATTATTTCAAGTGTAAATCTTGTCTTTTTAGCCTTTTCATGTAAACTTTCACAGATCAAAGTATTTTCATTTTTCATAAAGTGAAATTTATTATTTTTATTGTCCTTTTGATGGCAAGTCTAAGAACATTTTGCATAACACTGGATCCCAAAGATTTTCTGTTTTTACATGTGTTAAAATTTTATGTTTACATTCAATTCTATCATTCACTCTGAGCTAATTTTGTATCAAAAGTTATGACATTTAGATAAAGATTTTATTTTTATTTTTATTTATTTTTTGCTTATGAATATCTAATTGCTATAGCTGAAAAGACTACTCTTCCTCGATTAAATTCCTTATTTATATTTTTTCCAAAAGTAGTGGAATGTAGTTGTATGGATCAATTTCTAGCCTTTTCAATTTTGTTTTTTTGTTCTATTTGTCTATTTCTTTTCCAGTATCACATAGTTCTGATTATTGAAGCTATATAGTAAGCCTTATTATTTGGTAGATTTATTTCTTCCACTCTATTTTTTTATTGTCATGACTGATTTAGCTTTCTAAGCCCTATACATTTCTATATAAATTTTAGAGTAGACTTAAGTCCACACAAATTCTTGGTAATATTTTGGTAGGAATTTTATTAAATCTGCAGATCAACTTAGGAAAATTGATATATTTACTATGTTGAGCTTTACTATTCATGCATGCAGTGGCTCTCCATTTGTTCATATCTTATTTGATTCCTTTTTTCATCTTGTTATTAGCATACTAGGCCTGTGCATGTTTTGTTAAGTATGTAAGTTATATGGTTTCGTTCTGTGTGGCTAACCAAATCTCATCACAATTTGTAATCCCCACTTGTCAGGAGAGGGACCTAGTAGGGGGTAATTGGATCACAGGGGCAGTTTCACCCAATGCTGTTCTTGTGATAGCGAGTGAATTCTCACAAGATCTGGGTTTTAAAAGTGGCTCTTCCCGCTTTGCATGCTCTCTCTTGCCTGCTGCCAGTAAGATGTGCTTGCTTCCCCTTCCACTATGATCGCGAGATTCACGAGGCCTCCCCAGGCATGTGGAACTATTAGTCAATTAAACCTCTTTCCTTTATAAATTACCCAATCTTTGGTAGTACCTTTATAGCAATGAGAGAATGAACAGATACAGTAAAATGGTATCACAGAGAGTTTCTTACTGCTATAAAGATACTTGAAAATGTGGAAGTGACTTTGGAACTAGGTAATAGGCAGAGGTTGGAACAGTTTGGAGGACTCGGAAGAAGACAGGAAGATGTGGGAATGTTTACAACTTCCTAGGGGCTATTTAAATGGTTTTGACCAAACTGCTGATAGTGATGTGAACTATAAAGTCCAGGCTGAGGTGGTCTCAGATGGAGATGAGAAATTTATTGGGAACTGGAGTTAAGGTCACTCATGCTATGCTTTAGCACAGAGACTGGCAGCATTTTGCTCCTTCCCTGGAGATTTGTGGAACATTGAACATGAGAGAGATGATTTAGGGTATCTGGCAGAAGAAATGTCTAAGCAGCAAAGCATTTAAAACATGACCTGCATTATTCTGGAAGCATTTGGTTTTATGCATTCACAAAGAGATGGTATGAAAGAGAAGCTGATGTTTAAGAGGGAAGCAGAGCATAAAAGTTTGGAAAACTTGCAGTCTGACAATTGGAAAGAAAAACCAATTTTCTAGGAGAAATTCAAGCCTGCTGCAGAAATTTGCATAAATAATGAGTAGCTGAATGTGAGTTGCCAAGGCAATGGGGAAAATGTCTCCAGGCCATGTCAGAGCCCTGGGTGACAGCCTTTCCCACCACAGGTCAGGAGGCCTAGGGGAAAAAATGGTTTCATGGGCCTGGCCTGGGGCCCCTGCTGCTCTGTGCAACCCGGGACTTGGTGCCCTGTGTCTCAGCCACTTCAGCTATAGTCATGGCTGAAAGGAGCCAAGAGACAGCTTGGGCCATTGCTTCAGAGGGTGCAAATGCCAAGCCTTGGTGGTTTCCACATGGTATTGGACCTGCAGGTGCACAGAAATAAAAAATTGAGGTTTGGGAACCTCTGCCTAGATTTCAGAAGATGTATGGAAACACCTGGATGTCCTGGCAAAAGACCACTGCAGGGGAGGGGTCCTCATGGAGAACCTCCTAGGTTAGTGAAGAAGGGAAATTAAACCTCTTTTCTTTATAAATTACTGAATCTTACATATGTCTTTATAGCAGTGTGAAAATGGACTAATACTATAAGTATTTATTTTTTATTGGAGTCATTGTAAATGACATTGTATCTTTAATTTTGGTTTCTGTATATTCCCTGTCAGTACATAGAAATGTGATTGATTTTTATGGTTGATCTTTCAGCACTATGTTGAGTAAGAGCGATCAGATCACATGTGCTTGATATTTTCCTGATTTTAGGGGAAAGTCATTCATTTTAGTGCCAATCAGTATAACGGTGACTGTAGATTTTGTAAACATCTTGTAACAAGGGGAGAAAGTTCTCTTCTATTTTTTAGATTTTTAACAATCATGAATTGATATTGCATTACGTCAAAAGATGTTTATTCATCACATCATATAGTTATACGCATTTTCTTCTGTAGCATGTTGATGTGGTAGGTTATTTGATTTTTAAATGTTCAAACAGCCTTGTATACACTTGCTCATGGTGTACAATTTGTTTTATACAATGCTGAACTGCATTTGATAATATTTTGTTAAGACATTTGTGTCTATGTTTATGTGAGATATTATTCTGTAGTTTTCTTTTTTAGCATTATCTTTGTGTGATTTTCATATAAGTGTAATAGTGTGCTTATAAAATGAATTTGTATGTGTAATTTCCTCACCTATATTCTGGAAGATACTGTGTAAAATTGCTATTAATTTTTCTTGAATATTTGGGTGAAGAGTTTTTTTTGCATAAAAATATAAAGTTCTGACCAAGAATCCAGAAAAACAGATGCAAAATGAGGTAAAAGAAAGCACAATTAATGAAGTAAAATGCTATTAAAAAAAACACAAAGTTGATCAGCCTTGATAATTTGATAAATTACAAATTCAATTATTTGATGGTTGTAGGATTATTCAATATCTCTATTTCACTTTGTTTGAATTGGGTACTTTTTGTTGCCTTACAGAAGAGGTTAATTTCTTCTAAACTGTCTAATTTTCAGTATAAAGTTCTTCATAGTATTTCCTTACATATATTTTAATGGCTGCAGGATCTGTAGTCATGTCTGCTTTTTGAATCCTGATAATAGAGATGTCATATCTTTTTTTTCTTTCTGGTAGTTTTGCAAGTGGCTTATAGACTTTGACTTTTTTTTTAGACTAGCTCTGTGCTTAATTGATTTTTCTCTACTGTTTTTCTGTTTTCAATTTCATTGAATTCTCCTCTTAAGTTTATTACTTCTATCCTTCCTCATCTTTTAGGTAATTTTGCATCTGTTTTTCTGAATTCTTGATCAAACACTTACACTTTTATTTGAGACCTTTTCTTTTTTCCAATGTAATCATATCATAGCAGAAGTTTCCCTAAAATAACTTCTTTAGCCAAATCACCTATATTTCATATGTTGTGCTTTTTTCATTCACTTCTATCTTTTTAAAATAATTTTAAAGCTTCTTGGACACATAAGCTATTTATACGTTTATTCTGTAAGTTTATGGTTAAGACTATTTTTGTGTTGTCTTCTGTTATTAATTTTTAGTTTGATTTTGTTGTTGTCAGAGATTACACTGTATCATTTTATTTATTTGTTATTTGTTAAAGTATGTTTTATGATCCAAGTTGTGGTTTTTCTTGGTGAATTGTCTATGTGTTCTTTTTAATTAAACAAAAAATAATAATAAAAATATTTTCCTATAGTTCCGTGGAATGTGATTTTGTCAGTTAATTGTCTGGTTCAGATCCTGTCTTACTCAGATCTTGAATTGTTCATGTCAACATTCTTATTGGTTTTTTGCCTAGCATTTCTCTCAGTTATTGACACAGGGCTTGTTGAATTTCCCAACTATAAATCTGACTTATGTTAGAATTTTCAAAATAGCTTTATATGTATTACCAACATACATGTTGGTAGCATATATGTTTTTATCAACAAGTGAAAGAATAAACAAATCGTGATACATTTATCCAACTATGGGTGACTCAGCAATAAAAAAGAATAAACTCTTGATACACGCTATGACACTGACAAGTCTCAAAATTATTATGCTGATAGAAATAAGCAGGACAAGACAGAGTACACACTATATGATTAAATTTGTATATACATTTTGGAAATGAAAACTAATGTAATGTGACAAGAGCAGATTAGTGTTTGTCTGTGGAAGTAGAAAGTAAACCAGCATAGAAGGGAGGTACTAAAAGTAGAACAAGAAAACTTTTAAAAGTGAAAAATATGTTAATAATCTGGATTGCGTTGAAGGTTCCAGAGTGTATAATTATGTCAAAACTTATTGAGACCTACACTTTAAATACATGCAGTTTATGTCAATTATCTTTATAAAAATAAGAAGAAATAAAACTCTAGGCATAGCAGATTCAAAACAAATTCTCAAAGGAACTATTAGCATAGATTGTCTTAATAGTATCAATACTACAGCATTAGTCCATAAGAAAAACAAAGAAGGGTGTCGGTAAATTAAAGGAAAAAGGAGAAAAGTTGGAAACAGGATAAATGTAACCAATATTAGAAAGAAATAAACTTTTTTTGATGTGAGTTTGAAATGAATTTGTATTTTTAAAACTGTAAGAATATAGCCTAGATTTTTATGTAATCTTCAGTGCTATATGAAAAGATTATGCAGAAAAATTAAGATGATTCATTATAATGTAATGACTTTGTTTAATGAAAATGTGTTTGCCCATGATTAAAATTATTTCTTTTTCTACTTCATTGATTTTTCTCCTTGCTAACTGCTATAAATTCATTTTTAGTCTGCAGTAAAAAGCTTTCAAATGATGATGGCACAGCAGTTTAATAAAATAGTACCAACTAAAAGAGCCATTAGAATACATTTTTATAAAAGTAAAAAATTACTTCTGCCTAAAAATAATTTAATGGAAATATGGAGAGATTACAAAAGAAGTCACTATGGAATCCAAATACCTAACTTTATTACATAGGGAACTTTTCACTATTTAGATATGATCCATTAAGGATTATTACATCTAAGTTAATACATATTAATACATGCTTTAATATTTGTTAAATTGTATTTACACTTGACTTAAAATAATATCTTAATATTATAACAAAATGTTGTTAAAGACTTTAAGTTAAAGCCAAGCTTATCTGTTTCATATAAAAAAGGTGGAATATGGAGATCTGTAATTTCATGTTTAAATATTTGTTTCCAGTAGACATGCCTTGAAAGTAATATTAAAGAAGTTCTTCACAAAGAAAAAAATATTGATGAGTCAGAAAATAAGATCTACATAAAAATTAAATAATATTAGAGAAACAAAAGGAAAATAAATTCAAGTATATATTTTTTAGTCTTAATTGATCTATCAGATAGCAATTTGGTCAAAATAATAATAGTAACAGTATATTCCATTAGCTCTACCTTCCAGGTCAGTTGTATTGGCCTGCATTACGACCAGCATGAGTTTTCATGCACTCCACACCCTTTCCAAAACATGCATTCATCATTTTCCTAACGTTCGTAAATCTTATGTGCATGGAATTATAACTCTATAGTTTCTTTTTATTTTTCTAATTACAACTGGGTTGACTGTCTACACACCTATTCGTTAGTCTTTTGAGTTTTCTTTGCTGAAAATTTTCTGTTTATGTGACAGTTCGTTTTCTATATTATCTATATATCTGTCATCTATAAAAATGTTTGTTGATGGAATTGTATGAGCCAGGCATGTATTGCCCAAGACAGACAGGTTTTGCCTATAAATACATTCCTCTAGAATGTCATTTTCCTATATACATATATATTCTTACTGAATGACATTAATTTGTTGACCTATGTCTTTGCTTGAGCTACAATCCTCACATAAAACTAACAAGTTTTTTTCTAAAATTTTCTTCTATTAAGTTATCTATTCTTTTCATATGGAATTATGAAAATCCATAAATTTGTATATATATATTATATATCAAGAATATTGTTCCCATAAGCATGATTCTGCCTCTATGTGTTTGTATGAATTATGATAGTCTATCTGTTTCATCACCAGCACCAAACTGTTCTGACATTTATTTTTAATATGTTTGTAGACTTCAGGATAAGAATAAACTACAATATTCATCTTTTGTCATACTACATAACTGATTAATAATATTTCACTATTATTATTATTTTATCTAACACTGTAATGATTACATCTAATTATTAGGTTGGTGCAAAACAATTACTTTTTCACCAACCTAATATTTATTTGATAACATAATAACCACCACTGTAGTACAAAATCCAGTATATTTCCAATGATACCCATTTTGTTATATTTCCCTTCTCAATCTAACATCCTTATTTTAGTGTCAAATTAAAGATTATCCTCAAGTTTATATTAATAATTCATTGATTATTGAAAATTTACTATGCATATTTGTAACCCTACATAATATATTCTTGAGTTTTTTAAATTTGTTTTGAAATTTGTGAGCAGGGAATCATATTATTTGTGATCTTCTGGTAATGACTCTTCTCAACCAGTCTTACGCAAGTAATGTCATCCCTACCTCTGTGTGGTATTCTAGCTCATTCAGTTTCACTGGATTTTTCTCATTACATATTTTGCTCTTTTTATTGGTTTGATAGGTTTTCTTATTTTACAATATTTATTTTCCTAATGAAATATGGCAATCTCCATATTTTATATCCTGGTGAGAGATTAAAAATTAAGTTTAAGGCTCATCTAATATGGGGCATGTAATAATATACGTTATTGGAAGTGTACCTTACATATCAGAATGTCGTATATTATTCTATAGTTTGTCACATTTTTAAGGACTCATAACTTTTTTTTTTTTTTGAGACAGAGTCTCACTCTGTCGCCCAGGCTGAAGTGCAGTGGCGAGATCTCTGCTCACTGCAAGCTCCGCCTCCCGGGTTCACGCCATTCTCCTGCCTCAGCCTCCCGAGTAGCTGGGACTACAGGCGCCCGCCACCATGCCTGGCTAATTTTTTTTTTTTGAATTTTTAGTAGAGATGGGGTTTCACCCTGTTAGCCAGGATGGTCTCGATCTCCTGACCTCGTGATCTGCCCACCTCGGCCTCCCAAAGTGCTAGGATTACAGACATGAGCCACCACGCCTGGCCAGGACTCATAATTTTTAAAACAAGTTTTTTTTTTTTAATACTTTAAGTTCTGGGGTACATGTGCAGAAGGTGCAGTTTTGTTACATAGGTATACATGTGGCATGGTGGTTCGCTGCACCCATCAACCTATCATCTATATTAGGTATTTCTCCTAATGTTAACCTTCTCCTACCCACTAAATCCCCGACAGGCTCTGGTGTGTGATGTTCCCCTCCTGATGACCACGTGTTCTCATTGTTCAACTCCCACTTATGAGTGAGAACATGTGCTGTTTGGTTTTCTGTTCTTGTGATAGTTTGCTGAGAATGATGTTTTCCAGCTTCATCCATATTCCTGCAAAGGACATGAACTCATCCTCTTTTATGGCTGCATAGTAGTCCATGTTGTGTATGTGTCACATTTTCTTTATCCAGTCTATTATTGATGGACATTTGGGTTGGTTCCAACTCTTTGCTATTGTGAATAGTGCCATAATAAACATATGTGTGCATGTGTCTTTATAGTAGAATGATTTATGATTCTTTGAGTACATACCCAGTAATAGGATTGCGGGGTCAAATGGAATTTCTAGTTCTAGATCCTTGAGGAATCACCACACTGTCTTCCACAATAGTTGAGCTAATTTATACTCCCACCAACAGTGTAAAATCATTCCTATTTCTCCACATCCTCTCCAGCATCTGTTGTTTCCTGACTTTTTAATGATTGCCATTTTAACTGGTGTGAGATGGTATCTCATTGTGGTTTTGATTTGCATTTCTCTAACGACCAGTGATGATGAACATTTTTTCGTATGTCTGTTGGCTGCATAAATGTCTTCTTTTGAGAAGTAGCTGTTCACATCCTTTGCCCACTTTTTGATGCGGACGTTGGTTTTTTTCTTGTAAATTTGTTTAAGTTCTTTGTAGATTCTGAATATTAGCCCTTTGTCAGATGGATAGATTGCAAAAGTTTTCCCCCATTCTGTAGGTTGTCTGTTCACTCTGCTGATCGTTTCTTTTGCTGTGCAGAAGCTCTTTCATTTAATTAGATTCCATTGTCAATTTTGGCTTTTGTTGCCATTGCTTTTTGTGTTTTAGTCATGAAGTTTTTGCCCATGCCTATGTCCTGAATGGTATTGCCAAGGTTTTCTTCTAGGATTTTTATGGTCCTAGGTCTTACATTTAAGTCTTTAATCCATTTTGAGTTAATTTTTATATAAGGTGTAAAAAAGGGTCCAGTTTCAGTTTTCTGCATATGGTAGCCAGTTTTCCTAACACCATTTAATAAATAGGGAATCTTTTCCCCATTGCTTATTTGTGTCAGGTTTGTCAAAGATCAGATGGTTATAGATGTGTGTTGTTATTTCGGGGGCCTCTGTTCTGTTCCATTGGTCTATATATCTATTTTGGTACCAGTACCCTGATGTTTCAGTTACTATAGCCTTGTAGTATAGTTTGAAGTTAGGTTGCGTGATGCCTCCAGATTTGTTTTTCTTGCCCAGGACTGTCTTGGCTATGTGGGCTCTTTTTTGTTTCCATAGGAAGTTTAAAGTAGTTTTTTTCCAATTCCGTGAAGAAAGTCAATGGTAGCTTGATGGGGATAGTATTCAATCTATCAATTACTTACAGCATTATGGCCATTTTCACGATATTGATTCTTCCTATCCATGAGCATGGAATGTTTTTCTATTTTTTTGTGTCCTCTCTTATTTCCTTGAGCAGTGATTTGTAGTTCTCCTTGAAGAGGTCCTTCATGTCCCTTATAAGTTGGATTCCTAAGTATTTTATTCTCTTTGAAGCAATTGTGAATGGGAGTTCACTCATGATTTGGCTCTCTGTTTGTCTGTTATTGCTCTGTAGGAATGCTTGTGATTTTTACACATTGATTTTGTATCCTGAGACTTTGCTGAAGTTGCTTATCAGCTTAAGGAGGTTTTGGGCTGAGACAATGGGGTTTTCTAAATATACAATCATGTCATCTGCAAACAGAGAAAAATGACTTCCTCTTTTCCCATTTGAATATCCTTTATTTCTTTCTCTTGACTGATTGCCCTGGCCAGAAATTCCAATACTATGTTGAATAGGAGTGGTGAGAGAGGACATCCTTGTCTTGTGCCAGTTTTCAAAGTGAATGCTTCCAGTTTTTGCCCTTTCAGTATGATATTGGCTGTGGGTTTGTCATAAATAGCTCTTATTATTTTGAGATACATTCCATCGATATCTAGTTTATTGACAGTATTTAGCATGAAGGGGTGTTGAATTTTGTCAAAAACCTTTGCTGCATCTATTGAGATAATCATGTGTTTTTTTTTTCATTGGTTCTTTTTATGTGATGGATTACCCTTATTGATTTGCATAAATTGAGCCAACCTTGCATCCCAGGGATGAAGCCAACTTGATCATGGTGGATAAGCTTTTTGATGTTTTTGGTTTGGATTTTGTTTGCCAGTATTTTATTGAGGATTTTCACGTTGATGTTCATCAGGGATATTGGCCTGAAATTTTCATTTTTTGTTGTGTCTCTGACAGGTTTTGGAATCAGGATGATGCTGGCCTCATAAAATGAGTTAGGGAGGATTCTCTCTTTTTCTATTACTTGGAATAACTTCAGAAGAAATGATACCAGCTCCTCTTTGTACCTCTGGTAGAATTCAGCTGTGAGTCCATCTGGTCCTGGACTTCTTTTTGTTGGTAGGCTATTAATTATTGCCTCAATTTCAGAACTTCTTATTGGTTTATTCAGGTATTTGCCTTCTTCCTGGTTTAGACTTGGGAGGGTATATGTGTCCAGGACTTTATCCATTTCTTCTAGATTTTCAAGTTTATTTGCATGGAGGTGTTTGTTGTATTCTCTGATGGTAATTTGTATTTCTGTGGGATCCATGGTGATATCTCCTATATCATTTTTTGTTGCATCTATTTGATTATTCTCTCTTTTCTTCTTTATTAGTCTGGCTAGCAGTCTATTTTGTTGATCTTTTCAGAAACAAGCTCCTGGATTCATTAATTTTTGAAGGGTCTTTCTTGTCTCTATCTCCTCCAGTTCTGTTCTGATCTTAGTTCTTGTTTTCTGCTAGATTTTGAATTTATTTGCTGTTGCTTCTCTAGTTCTTTTAATTTTGATGTCAGGGTGTCAATTTTAGATCTTTCCCGCTTCCTCTTGTGAGCATTTAGTGCTATAAATTTCCCTCTACACACTGCTTTGTATGTGTCCCAGAGATTCTGGTATGTTGTGTCTTCATTCTCACTGGTTGCATAGAACATTTTTATCTCAGCCTTCATTTTTTTATTTACCCAGTAGTCATTCAGGAGAAGGTTGTTCAGTTTCCATGTAGTCATGTGGGTTTGAGTGTTTCTTAATCCTGAGTTCTAATTTGATTGCACTGTGGTCTGAGAGACTGTTATGATTTCCATTCTTTTGCATTTGCTGAGGAGTGTTTTACTTACAATTATGTGGTCAATTTTAGAGTAAATGTGATGAGGTCCTGAGAAGAATGTATATTCTGTTGATTTGGGGTGGAGAGTTCTGTAGATGTCTATTAGGTCGGCTTGGTCCAGAGCTGAGTTCAAGTCCTGATTATCCTTGTTAATTTTCTGTCTTGTTGATCTAATATTGACAGTGGGGTGTTAAAGTGTCCCACTATTACTGTATGGGAGTCTAAGTCTCTTTGGAGGTCTCTAAGAACTTGCTTTATAGATAGATCTGTGTGCTCCTGCATTAGGTACATATATATTTAGGATAGTTAGATCTTCTTGCTGCATTAATCCCTTTACCATTATGTAATGCCCTTCATTGTCTCTTTTGACCTTTGTTGGTTAAAGTCTGTTTCATCAGAGGTTAGGATTGTAACTCCTGTTTTTTTTTTTCCTTTCCATTTGCTTGGTAAATATTTCTCCATCCATTTATTTTGAGCCTATGTGTGTCTTTGCATATGAGATGGGTCTCCTGAATACAGCACACTAATGGGTATTGACTCTTTTTCCAATTTGCCAGTCTGTGTCTCTTATTTGGGGCATTTAGCCCATTTACATTTAAGGTTAATATTGTTATGTGTGAATTTGATCTTGTCATTATGATGCTAGCTGGTTGTTTTGCCCATTAGTTGATGCAGTTTCTTTATAGTGTCCATATTCTTTATAATTTGGTATGTTTTTGCAGTGGCTGGTACCAGTTGTTCCTTTCCATGTTTAATGCTTCCTTCAGGAGCTCTTGTAAGGCAGGCCTGGTGGTGACAAAATCTCTCAGCATTTGCTTGTCTGTAAAGGATTTTATTTCTCCTTCACTTATGAAGCTTAGCTTGGCTGGATATGAAATTCTGGGTTAAAAATTATTTCTTTAAGAATGTTGAATATTGGCTCCCACTCTCTTCTGGCTTGTAGAGTTTGTGCAGAGAGATCCACTGGTAGTCTGATGGGCTTCCCTTTCTGGATAACCCAACCTTTCTCCCTGGCTGCCCTTAATATTTTTTCCTTCATTTTAACCTTGGTGAATCTGACGATTATGTGCCTTGGGGTTGCTCTTCTCGAGGGGTATCTTTGTGGTCTTTTCTGTATTTCCTGAATTTGAATGTTGGCCTGTCTTGCTAGGTTGGAAAAGTTCTCCTGGATAATATTCTGAAGAGTGTTTTCCAACTTGGTTCAATTCTCTTTGTCACTTTCAGGTATACTAATCAAACATAGATTTGGTCTTTTCACATAATCCCATATTTCCTGGAGGCTTTATTTGTTCCTTTTTATTCTTTTTTCTCTAATCTTGTCTTCTCGCTTTATTTCATTATGTTGACCTTCAATCACTGTCGATTCAGCTATTAAAACTTGTGAATGCTTCACGAAGTTCTGGTGCGTGTTTTCCAGCTCCATCAGGTCACTTATGTTCTTCTCTACACTGGTTATTCTAGTTAGCAATTCGTCTAACCTATTTTCAAGGTTCTTAGCTTCCTTGCATTGGGTTAGAACATGCTCCTTTAGCTCACAGGAGTTTGTTATTACCCATTTTCTGAAGCCTACTTCTGTCAATTCATCAAACTCATTCTCCATCCAGTTTTGTTCTCTTACTGGCGAGGAGTTGTGATCCTTTGGAAGAGAAGAGGTGTTCTGGGTTTTGGAATTATCAGCCTTTTTGCACTGTTTTCTTCCCATCTTTGTGGATTTATCTACCTTTGGTCTTTGATGTTGGTGACCTTCAGATGGGGTCTTTGAGTGGAAATGCTATTTCCTTCTGTTTGTTAGTTTTCCTTCTGACAGTCAGTCCCCTCTTCTGCTGGTCTGCTGGAGTTTGCTGGAGGTCCACTCCTGACCCTGTTTGCCTGGGTATCACCAGCGGAGGCTGCAGAATAGCAAAGATTGCTGCCTGATCTTTCATCTGGAAAGTTTGTCCCAGAGGGGCATCTACCAGATGTCAGCCAGAGCTCTCTGGTATGAGGTGTCTGTTGACCCCTACCAGGAGGTGTCTTCCAGTCAGGATACATGGGATTCAGGGACCCACTTGAGGAGGCAGTCTGACCCTTAGCATAGCTCGAACGCTGTGCTGGGAGGTCCGCTGCTGTCTTCAGAGCTGTCAGGCAGGAATGATTAAGTCTGCTGAAGCTGCGCCCACAGCAGTGCCTTTCCCCAGGTGCTCTGTCCCAGAGAGATGGGGGTTTTATCTATAAGTCCCTGACTGAGGCTGCTGCCTTTTTTTCAGAGATGCCCTGCCCAGTGAAGAGAAATCCTGGAGTCTGACCACCGCAGCCTTGCTGAGCTGCAGTGGGCTCTGCCCAGTTCGAACTTCCCAGCGGTTTTTTCCACACTGTGAGCATAAAACTACTGACTCAATCCTCAGTAATGGCAGACACCCCTCCCCGCACCAAGCTCGAGAGTCACAGGTTGATCTCAGACTGCTGCTGTGAGGACAGCTAGAATTTCAAGCCAGTGGATCTTAGTTTGCTGGGCTCCTTGAGGGTGGGACCCACTGAGCCAGACCACTTGGCTCCCTGGCTTCAGCCCCCTTTCGAGGGGAGTGAATGGTTCTGTCTCACTTGTGTTCTAGGTGCCACTGGGGTATGCAGCTAGTTGGGTGTCTGCCCAAATGGCCGCCCATTTTTGTGCTTGAATCCCAGGGCCCTGGTGTGGTAGGCGTAGGAGGGAATCTCCTGGTTTTTGTGGGTTGTGAAGGCCACCGGACAAGTGCAGTATCTCTGCCAGAGTTCCTCAGGCTCATTCCCTCACAGCTTCCCTTGGGTACAGCAGAATATGCCACGTCCCCTTGCACTTCCCAGGTGAGGTGATGCCCCACCCTGCTTCGGATCACCCTCCGTGGGCTGCATCCACTGTCCAACCAGTCCCAGTGACATGAACTGGGTACATCAGTTGGAAATGCAGAAATCACCCTCCTTCTGCGTCTATCTCACTGGGAACTGCAGACCGGAGCTGTTCCTATGTTCCTATTCAGCCATCTTGTCAGCAATCTTAAAAACAAGTTTTAAATATTTTACCTGATAGCAATGCTCTTTCTTTGATAGCAATGCTTTTTCCTTTTAATTGATAACAATTCTTTTTTCACTGAAATAATTACTACTTTGTCAATGGTATATTTATTTTGCAATTGTTGACTTTCCTCTCCTTTGAGATATTATTTAAAGATTTCTTTAAAAAAATCCTTGCATTTTAAAGACAAAAAGATTTTCCAGGCTTTTCACTTTTGCTTGTTTTTATTAATGGAGAACAGTGCCTGTGTGGGCTAAATTGTGCCCTCCAAAGGCATATATAGGAGACCTAATCCTCCCTTATCTGGGAATGTGACCTTATTTGAAAATAGGATTTTTACAAATGTAATCAAGTTGAGATGGGGTCATATAGGATTAGACTGACCTCTAAATCCAATTACTGGGGACCTTATAAGAAATACATGTTAAGACACCGGGACACAGAAACAGGGAAAACAGCTGCGTAAAGACAGAGGCAGAAATTGGACTAACACAGCTGCAAATCAAGGAACTCCAAATAATGCTGGCAATCACCAGAAGCTTTAAAGATCAAGGAAGAATTCGTCCCTAGAGCCTTCAGAGAGAGATGATCCAGCTGACATCTTGATTTTAGATGTCTATGCTTCTGAATAAATGAGAGGATAAAGCTATGTTGTTTTAAGCAACCTTAAACAACTTGGTTTGTGGCAGTTTGTTGTTTTAGTCTTATGAAACTAATACAGTGCTATAGAAAAAATAGGGGCAAAAATATGTAAAGATACCTCACATGGTTGCATAAAGTGACATGGCTTGAGTTTCTTCTTTTAAAAGAAAAATAAGAAAAAATGTATCTATGTTCATGAGTTTTAATTTTACCTTAATTATTGATTTATTTTAATTCTATTTTGAAAATATATTATTCTTACAGCCTCACATACACCCTTTTTTGAAGCTGTTTTTTCCCTTTAACTTTAGTATCCTTCGTATTGTATTGCATTTGAGAAATTAAAATTAAAACAATAATAAGATATATTATATACTTATAAGAATGAGCCAGATCTAAAGCACTGATAACACCAAATTCTGGGGAGAATATGAAAGAACAAGGACTCTCATTCACTGCTGGTGGAATGTAAAATGATAACAGTCACTTTGGAAGACAGTTTGGCAGTTTCATTCAAAGTAAACATACTCTTACTATACGATCCAACAAATACCCTTCTTGATATTTACCTAAAGGAGTTGAAACCCATGTCCATACAAAAACCTGCACCAGAATATTTATGCCAGTTTCATTCATAATTTCCAAGCCATGAAATCAGCCAACATCTTTAGTATGTGAATGAATGGACAGACTGTGGTAAATGCAGACAAAGGGAACATTATTCAGTGCTGAAAATAAGTGATCTATCAAGCCAGGAATAGATGTAAAGGAAATTTTCATACTTATCATTGAGTGAAAGAAGCCAATCTGAAAAGTCTACACATTATATGATTCTAATTATATGACATTCCAGAATAGGCAAAATTATGAAGATATTAAAAAGATCAGTTTATGCCATGGGTAAATGGGGAGACAAGGATGAATAGGTAAAGCACAAAGAATTTTTAAGGTACTGAAACTATTCTGTATGATACTATCATGGTGGAACACATGTCATTACACATTTGTCAAAACCCATCCACAACGTATAACTTCAAGGATGAATCCTAATGCTAACTATGGACTCTGGGTGATAATGATTTGTACATTTAGGTTTATGAATTGTAACAGGTATTGCACTCCAGTGTGAGATGCTGATAGTGAGGGAAGCCGTATTCATGTTGAGGCAAAGCGTACTTGGGAACTCTCTGTACTTTCTGCTCAATTTTGCTGTCAACTTAAACCTACTCTTAACAATAGTCTGCTTAAAAGGAGGAAAAATCATTGGATTACATGCTTATAAATGTAAATTATAAATTTTCATCTCTCTGAAAATAATTCAGTAGAAATAGATTAGGTAAAAATCTCAATATGTATGCTAAAACCTTCTTCATTGTCTATGGAACATTGAACTATCTATTTACTTTTAGTAAATAATATTTGTTAAACAATGTTTATACTTGATTCGAAATATGATGTTAAAATTATAAATAACTTTAAGAATATTTCAAGTAAAAGCACAGTTTACAGTTTATATTTTATGGAAGAAATTTAATAGCAAAAAACCCAAACATGGACTTTTGGGTTCTACCATTCTGTTTTCAAGTATCAGCTATATCAGCATTCCCCAACCTTTTTGGCACCAGGGACTGGTTTTGTGGAAGACAATTTTTCCTAGGACTGGGGTAGGGGATGGTGTTCAGATGATTCAAGCACATTACATTTATTGTGCACTTTATTTCTATTATTATTACATTATAATATATAATGAAATACTTATACAACTCACCATAATGTAGAATCAGTGGGAACCCTGAGCTTGTTTTCCTGCAACTAGACAGTCTCATTTGGAGACGATGGGAGACAGTGGCAGATCCTCAGGCATTAGATTCTCATAAGAAAACCGCAAACTAGATCCCTTGCATGTGCAGTTCACAATAGGGTTCCGGCTCCTATAAGAACCGAATGCTGCTGCTGATGTGACAGGTGGGAGAACTCAGGTGGTAATATGAGCCATGGTGAGTTGCTGTAAATACAGAAAAAGCTCCTAACCGCCCCCTACCCCAACCCCCTGCCACCGGCCACTCACTTCTTGCTGTGCAGCCCATTTCCTAACAGGCCAGGGACCAGCACCAGCCCCCAGCCCCTGGCCCAGAGTTTGGGAACCCCTGGGCTATATCACTAACTGTTTGACTTTAGCAATATACTTAATCTGTCTGTTCAGCAGTTTTCTTATTTACAACCTGACTGACCTCACAAGTTTTAGGTGATGATCAGGCATAATGTTTGTAAAGCACTCTGTAATATCTGTCATATTAATTTAACATTAAAAATGTGGTATGGATTAGAATTTCTTTTACCCTCCACTTACCCTACTCATTTCACAAACTGATACTCTCCATTCTTTATGTAAAACAAACTATCACAAATTGCTGAATATGTGTTTTTATCATTCTACACTTTAATATTCTAATATTCTGACAGTTTTGTTTTCACCAAGTATTATGTTATATTTATTTCCACACATTCTGTGCCAGCTATATTTATGATTGTAGTTTATAATTAAGTAAAAATCACATAAACTTCTGAAACATGACTTTAAATAGGAAATGAGTGTTTCTGTAATAAATGAAATGTTTTGTAAAAATTATTTGAACATGTATATTATTAAGTGTGAACAAGACAATCAAAAATGACAGGATAGGTGTTTTTAAAAATCATGAAATATTCTCCATTAATACATTACATCTATTAATGAATCCACCCTGGAATAAAAAATCGTTGTCCACCACATCAAACAATGGACTCATAAATGAATATTTAAGTTAAATTAAAATGTTTAAGGTGTATTCATATCTATTTTTAGGATCTCCTGTTTTAAAAACAGTTCTTGGTTAATCACCTATGTGAATATAACTGATCACCCCCTTCTTGAACCACTACTTTAGGTGATTTCGTGGACATGACACTCTCCTGTTTCTTCTTTTATCTTACTGGCCCCACCATCTGAGCATCCAGTTTTGGCTCTTCCACACTAAGTCCCAGACCAGAGTGTGAACTATCAACCATTTGCTGGGGACTGTCTCCAACTCTAGCCCTGACTCTCTCTTAAAGTCTAAACCAGTTATATCTAATTCTGACACTTTGATTTGCATTTATAATACTCATCTCAAATTTAACATGTCCAAAATTGACTTCTTCCCTGTGCTCACCCTGCTTCAGACAAACTGCTATTTTTGTACTTCCTTAAACACACGCTGTTTTTTCTTTCTTTTAAAATCTTAGCAACATCTTAATATCTCTTGCAGAATAATTTTATTAAGATCTTCTCAAGGTTCATCTAATGACTTTATTTGGTTTTCTCTCTCGATTTCAATTTTTGTAGAGCTCTTTTCTAAGTACCTTGTTTTAACTGGGGCCTCCTGAGATACAGCACCCTCCATGCCCTTATGCAGCTGTATATTTATTTACAGCACTTTTCACTGCTTGTAATCGCAGTTTGCATTTATACAATTTATGTTTCACATTCACTCTGCTCAACTAAATTATGCTTCATAAGGGGAGAGTCTATTTATTCACTGTTGTCATCTTCATAACAACATAACCTAAAACATAGTAGTCCCTTTCATTTTTTAATGAATAAATTCCTTTAGTTTTTACAAGTATTCTATTTGCCATTTTTATCTTACTGGTACTCTTTTTTTAGCTGAATATTTTTCATCAATTAATATACTGTGAGTAAATCTAACTGTGGTAAGCAAAATGGCCTTTCAAAGATGTCTACTCCCCAATCCAGTAACCTGTAAATATGTTGCTTTACATGGCAGATGTGATTAGGATTAAGGACCTTGAGATGGAGTATTTATTCTGAATTTTCCTATTGGACCCAGTCTAATTACCTAAATCATAAAAGGATAAAACTTTTCCTGGCTGCAATCCAAGGGAAATTTGAGTATAAAAGAATGGTCATAAAGATGCTACATTGCTGACTTCGACAATGGAGCAAGGGAACATAAGTTTAGGAATAGGGGCAGCTTCAGAAAACTGAGAGAGACAATGAAATGGATTCTCCCCCAGAAAGAAATACAGGCCTGGAAATACCTTAATTTTAATACAGTGAGACCCATGTTGGACTTCTTTATCTATAGATCTGCCTGGCCAGGGCAATCAGGCAGGAGAAGGAAATAAAGGGAATTCAATTAGGAAAAGAGGAAGTCAAATTGTCCCTGTTTGCAGATGACATGATTGTATATCTAGAAAACCCCATCGTCTCAGCCCAAAATCTCCTTAAGCTGATAGGCTACTTCAGCAAAGTCTCAGGATACAAAATCAATGTGCAAAAATCACAAGCATTCTTATACACCAATAATAGAAAAACAGAGAGCCAAATCATGAGTGAACTCCCATTCACAATTGCTTCACAGAGAATAAAATACCTAGGAATCCAACTTACAAGGGATGTGAAGGACCTCTGCAAGGAGAACTACAAACCACTGCTCAGTGAAATAAAAGAGGATACAAACAAATGGAAGAACATTCCATGCTCATGGGTAGGAAAAAATCAATATCATGAAAATGGCCATACTGCCCAAGGTAATTTATAGATTCAGTGCCGTCCCCATCAAGCTACAAATGACTTTCTTCACAGAATTGGAAAAAACTACTTTAAAGTTCATATGGAACCAAAAAAGAGCCTGCATTGCCAAGTCAATCCTAAGCCAAAAGAACAAAGCTGGAGGCATCATGCTACCTGACTTCCAACTATACTACAAGGCTACAGTAACCAAAACAGCATGGTACTGGTACCAAAACAGAGATATAGACCAATGGAACAGAACAGAGTCCTCAGAAATAATGCCACATATCTGCAAGTATCTGATCTTTGACAAACCTGAGAAAAACAAGCAATGGGGAAAGGATTCCCTATTTAATAAATGGTGTTGGGAAAACTGACTAGCCATATATAGAAAGCTGAAACTGGATCCCTTCCTTACACCTTATACAAAAATTAATTCAAGATGGATTAAAGACTTACATGCTAGACCTAAAACCATAAAAACCCTAGAAGAAAACCTAGGCAATACCATTCAGGACATAGGCATGGGCAAGGACTTCATGTCTAAAACACCAAAAGCAGTGGCAACAAAAGCCAAAATTGACAAATGGGATCTAATTAAACTAAAGAGCTTCCGCACAGCAAAAGAAACTACCGTCAGAGTGAACAGGCAACCTACAGAATGGGAGAAAATTTTTGCAATCTACTCATTTGACAAAGGGCTAATATCCAGAATCTACAATGAACTCAAACAAATTTATAAGAAAAAAACAAACAGCCCCATCAACAAGTGGGTGAAGGATATGAACAGACACTTCTCAAAAGAAGACATTTATGCAGCCAAAAGACACATGAAAAAATGCTCATCATCACTGGCCATCAGAGAAATGCAAATCAAAACCACAATGAGATACCATCTCACACCAGTTAGAATGGTGATCATTGAAAAGTCAGGAAACAACAGGTGCTGGAGACGATGTGGAGAAATAGGAACACTTTTACACTGTTGGTGGGACTGTAAACTAGTTCAACCATTGTGGAAGTCAGTGTGGCGATTCCTCAGGGATCTAGAACTAGAAATACCATTTGACCCAGCCATCCCATTACTGGGTATATACCCAAAGGATTATAAAACATGCTGCTATAAAGACATATGCACAAATATGTTTATTGAGGCACTAGTCACGATAGGAGAGACTTGGAACCAACCCAAATGTCCAACAATGATAGACTGGATTAAGAAAATGTGGCACATATACACCATGGAATACTATGCAGCCATAAAAAATGATGACTTCCTGTCCTTTGTAGGGACATGGATGAAGCTGGAAACCATCATTCTCAGCAAACTATCGCAAGGACAAAAAACCAAACACCGCATGTCCTCACTCATAGGTGGCAACTGAACAATGAGAACACATGGACACAGGAAGGGGAACATCACACTCTGGGGACTGTTGTGGGGTGGGGGGAGGGGGGAGGGATAGCATTAGGAGATATATCTAATGTAAATGACGAGTTAATGGGTGCAGCACACCAACATGGCACATGTAGACATATGTAACAAACCTGCATGTTCTGCACATGTACCCTAAAACTTATAGTATAATAAAAAAGGATATCAATTTGTAGTGTTTAAGGTATCAACCTTGAGGCAATTTGTTAATGTAGCAATAGAACATAAATGTACGAATTGTATTAAACATTGTTATACAACAGTTTTGTAGTCTCTGAATATTATGAATATCCCTCAGTTTAAAAACCAGTTGGCTTATATTGTTTATAGTTTTAACCATTGTTAAGTAATAGATGAATATGATAGCATATACAGAATAAAAGGATGCCAGGACATAAGCAGCTCATGGGATGTGTTTCTCAGGAAATGTGATTTGATTGACTCTGGAAGATGGTCCACTTAGATATGATAGTATATACCTAAAACTCAAATTTTTTTGAGTTAAACATTTTTTAAAATTTAAAAACATGAATGTCATACAATATTATGATATTCATGTATTAAAGATTTATTTAAATATCTAATAAGAGCATCAACAGGATAACAAAGTTGATTATCCATAGATTATTATTGTTTATTTCTGAAGTCTTCTGAGTGCTCTGAGAAGTTTTCTGAAGTCTCCTTAGGTTTAGAAAATGAAAGGAGGAGAATAGCATTAAGATTTCTCATTTTGGATAAGATGAATTACAAATACTATTTAATTAATAGTGCTAAAGTAATATACATTTGAAACGTTGGATTTTCTGAATTTTATTTTAAAAATGAACAATAATTCTGTTCAATTATTAAATAAGCTTTTTTGTTTTTTATTTATTTATTTTTTTTGGCGGAGAGAAGAACTGGCAAGTAACAAGCCAAGCAAGAATTTCAATGGAAAATTACAGAGATACTAACAGGTGACTTATAAATGGGAGTTTGAAACACAACCATTTGTAAAGTAATAGTTGCTTCTCTGCATAGAGATAAATGTCTATCAGTCATAAAGATATAGGCTTTTATATATAAAATTATTATTTAGATTTTAATAATTATTTTCTTCCTACATAACCTATCCCAGATTTCAGTATTTATATGATAACCAAAGGGGCTTAAGTCCTTTTGTGTTTTCACAGACTTTATCATATTAGATATACATCTGTTATTTCTGTTTCACTTACTTTCTATATTGCCTTAAATATGCAATAGCTCTAATGCTTGTTTTTATCTTCTCATTATTTAAACATTTTTATTATGTTTCAAATATGTGTGTATATAATCTAATCTTAGAAAGTGGTTTTTGAATTAGCACCAACTTTCAGAAATAGGGATAGTTTTACTGGTAGAATTTAGTTATAATAGCCACAATGCTAAGATTATGGATAAATAACAAAGATTGCAAAATGTTTGATTTTTATTAATTTTACATTTCCAATGTCTTTTGTTTTTCTGCTTCCAGGTTTGAGTACTTATGAATACAAAATAAATAAACGGATTTAAATTACTTTATTATTACAATGCAGAAATGAGGAAGTGTAATAGCCAGCTAGTCTTGGAACATGGCACTGTGAATGTAAGTACAATCCAATAAGAACAGTCATGAGTTTCAAACAGCAATTGGGCTCACATTGCATTTACTCCATAAAAATTATTAAAGGCATTGTCTAAAAAGGTATGGGGTCTCTGACTAACCACGAGTTAGAAAAAGTAAACGATATGAATATAAACAAAAGATGTCAAGGTTTAATAGGAATATTATTCAGCATTACATGTAATGTTAATCCGATTTCTACATTTCTGGGATTTGTGCAGTCCATTTTAGAAGCTGCTATCTCATAATGCACTAAGAGATGTTATTTAACATGCCATTTCTAAAAGGTATGAGATGACTGACACTTTACAATTTAAAGTTCTCCCTTCTATAACTGGTACATTAGCCTAGAAACTGAATTATTTTAATCAATACAAATGTGCTACTTGAAAAAAATACATATTAAGCATTTGAAATGCCATATATTGTAGCACAAGAAAAGAGTATTATCTTCAAGTAAGTTTCATTATTAAAAGCCTCAAATATACTTTTATCATTTATATAAAAGATAAACTGTGGTATACAATACTGCAAAACATACATAAATATACTAATATGTTTTGTTATACTTAGCATTAAAGTTAACTGTCTTTGTGATCTGCATGCCTGATGATTGAGATTAGTCATTATCTAAAATAGCAGCACAAAATCTTGTCCTCAGAAAATGCTTGAAATATTTAGATGTAGAAATAGAA
Organism: Homo sapiens; assembly: GCF_000001405.40. Classification (NCBI taxonomy): domain Eukaryota; kingdom Metazoa; phylum Chordata; class Mammalia; order Primates; family Hominidae; genus Homo; species Homo sapiens. The sequence continues at coordinate 116,805,835 of NC_000004.12, read as the reverse complement.
TTGCTTTAAGAAAGAGACTAGCACTTCAATTACAATTGTACAGTATAATATGTAGAAAGTATTTTTGGATTAATAATCATTTCAATACTTAGAGCAATGGTAAGGTGTAAACTTTTGTTTTGTTTTGTTTTACTTTTTTGTTTATTAGCTTGTATTTTAAGTTCAGGGGTATATGTGAAGGTTCGTTACATAGGTAAACTTGTATCATATGGGTTTGCTGTACGATTATTTCATCACTCAGATATTAAGCCTAGTACTCATTAGTTATTTTTCCTGATTCTCTCCCTCCTCTCACACCATGTATCAATAATTTTTAAACTGTTGTAGTAGTTTTATCATTATCATGAGTTTTATTATGGTAAATTAATTATTATTCTAAATTTGTGGAAATTCTATTCAGAATTTCCACTTTGAATCTTAAGGTTTTAAAATGTATTGCATTCTTAAATCTATCCTGAATTTTTTTTTCTAGGAAATGATTAATTGCATATTCATCTGGTCTCAGATACAGGACATTCTCTTGCATAGGTTAAATGTATTAATGGTAGAGAATTATGCAAAAAATACTCATTTTCTCCAATACCAGAACATACAGGAAGCAAGTAAAGGTAATTTCACAATTCATCTAATTTCTTGTACTACTAAAGAAAAGTAAAACTTGAGGATCAGTAGTGGCCATGGTATGGTTTGACTCTGTCCCCTCCAAAATCTAGTGTTGAAACTTAATGACCATTGTGATGGTATTAAGAGGTGATTGAGTCATAAGAGCTCCTTCCCTCATGATAGGATTAAGTCCCTCATAAAAGAGGGCTCATGCAACATTAGATTTTCTTGTGTCTGAAGCTATGTGAAGCCAGATGAGGACACAGTGTTCTTGTCTTCCGGAAAATATAGCAAGAAGGCATAATGTTGGAAGCAGAGAGTAGCCTTTGCCAGACAACAGATCTTACTGGTGCCTAGATCTTGGACATCCAGCCTCCAGAACTGTGAAAAAAATAAATTTATGTTCTTCATAAATTATTTGGTCTCAGATATTGTGTTATAATAGCACAAAATGGAGTAAGGCACCATTAGTTTTTTATTGGTGTGGAAACTGTAGCTGAATAGGTTTGCTGATTTATTTCCAGAAACATACAACTAATGGAAGTTTTCATTCTTAACGAAACAGTCTTTCCCCTGTATTATTTTCTACATTCTCAATCCAGAGGTATAATGATAACAGGATCACACTTCTAGGACATAGATCTTAAATGCATGTTTTGCTCAAAACTGCATTTTCAAAAATTAAAAAAAAACGATGTTTTGCATCTTCTAAGATCTAAGAATATTATCTGTGAAAATAAATTGCTTATATGCTTGACAATTTAGTACCACATTGTAAAACCATCTTATAGACTAGTGATAAAAAAGAACAATTGATAAGTAAAACATTTTAGTACACTGGGCACGAACACTTAAGTAGAACATAAACACTACTAAAAAAGGCACACTAACTATAATAGAAATTTAAAGACAGTAGATTACATATAGAAAGAAGTATTGTTTTTGAAAAAATTAAGTCCTTACATTTTACAGTTTATAAATGAAGTGATACCTGATGCTCCTTTACATATCAAATATGCAGTATATAATTTGAAGCAAAAATACATTACAGTGTATTCTAATTTAGTCTCTTCAATTTAATTTCATGATTATAACTTTGCTTCTATCTTAATTTAGTATTTTAATTAAATCTGTAAGTATTTTTCTTTCTAAAAGATACCCTTCATTCTATAATATTGTATAACTAATCCCAAATGAAGTAATTTTCCATCACAATCAACAATATATAGTTATAATTTTAGTAGGTTCTAAATGATTTAATGTTATTTTTCAACTTACACCTTGAGAAGAATTGAATAAAACAGGCTTTGTAGGCTCTGTTTATTTATAACATTTAAATATATATTATACTTTCTGTTAGTTATAATATTTATAAATGAAAATGAGACAAAATAAAAAGTTCATGAATAGTTGGGAAAGTATTCTATTTCAGATAGCTTGGTTAGTGAAGATGTCTGACAGTTAAGCAGAGACTCTTGCTCACTGCTGTGTTCCCGCTGCATAAAACAATTCTGGGATGAAGTAATTATGTTTGTTGATGACTACATGGTATTCAGGGAAATCTCAAAATAGTGGAAGCAATTTGACTTGGCAGAATAATTTTTCTTGTATTATTTACTAGACATTCGATATATCAGAAATATTTTCTAATACATTAAATCACACTTACGCTTCATTACAAAAGAACTGAGATATAAGAAAGTTCTGAGTGATGCACAATATCAAACATGACTCAGCATGGAGAAGGGAACTATTGTTTTTCTCCAGGTTTGTAAAGTTTTATAGTCACAAAATAGTGATACCTAGAAACTTGGGTTACAATGTAAGCAAGAAGATTTAAAATTGCAAGAGAAAAGAGCTCATGTAGAAAACAGTAATGTACAAACATTTAGTCATAAATGAATAGATTGCATTTTTATACTGTATGTCATATAGTGTATGAAATGCTTAAAATAGATATAATGAAATAATCCCTTTAATGTATGTCATGTGTAATGTATCAGTAGTATAACAAATGCCAGTACATATATAAAGTTACTAGCTAATATATATTCACTGCATAGTCTAGTTCAGTTATTTTTGAAGGATTCAAAGGTATTAATCCATTTTTTATTGCCTATATAACTCCATGATCTAGGTACTATTATTAGCCACATTTTATGATTGAGGAAACTGAGGTTAAAACTGAGATTGATAACTTGTCCAAAGTCACACAACTAAGTAATGGCACTATCATGAGTCAAACTGAGGCAGTCAGGTTCCAGATCCTGAGGTCTTGATGCTATTGTTATATCATCTTGCGTACATAGCCTCAATATGATATATGCACATATAAGTACAAATTTAACTCTCATGTGTGCTACATATCACTTGATTTTGTTAAATTGTCTTTTACTTTAGCTATTACTTTAGACAATATATTTTAGAAGTAGCAACAAATTAATGATTGCCAATTAACTTTGAAAATATGGCATCACATACTTCATTTTGGATAGTCAATAAATATAAAAATCATGAGCTTGCTTACATTTCTTTAAAATCTAATTTTTATTCACATCAATATACCTTTTTGGTTTTCTCTATTAAAGGTGTTATTAAAATAAAACAGATCTATAATTTAGATATATATTATCCTTTCTGAGTCATGTTGCCATTAATCCAGCCTATATTGCATATTTTATCAAGTAAGAAGTGAACTTATCACAATAAGATCTTTAAATATTGACATACATAGTATTGAAAATAATTTCTAAAAGTTAATAGCTCGTTCTTAAATCAAACTGTCTCCGTGGATCCATCCTCAAAATATTAAAATCAAGGAATAGTATAAACAACATCATCCATAGTTTATCACTTCAACCTCACTAGGAGACAGAGAATACCAAAAACTTCAAATTGTCCCTATGTGAAGAAAAGACCTCCAAATTCCAAGGTAATTCCCACTATCTATTCCTATAAGGCAGAAGGGAAAGAGAAGGCTTATGGCACTCGTTAACAAAAAGAAAGGGAGGGGTGTTTGGAGAGTAAATTGAGAAGAACAGAAAAATTTTTGTCTAAAACAAAAAAGTTCAAGACTAATTGCTGAAATTAGTATAATTGTGACCTTGTAGTGTTCAAGAAAAGTGCTTAAAAGTGTGCTGGACTGTAGGGGCAGTTGGATGGAAGCACTGATTATGGGGAATAATCATGTAAATGGCAGTGAAGGAAATGAAGGCACAAATAGGGAAAAATTAAGGACCCCGCAGAAATGTAAAAGACTCAGAAACTAGGCTGATCCAACCATTTCTCTACCACCAAAGCTGTCCAATGAAAAATTGTACTCTGCTATACTGAAAAAAAATGATCCTCTTAAACATCATAATTTGTCCCCCAAAGGGATAGGGAGAGAAAGCAAACAAACGAACAAAGAAAAACCCCTCCAAAAAACCTCCATAGCAGCGTACTGTAAGAAGAAATCAGAAAATATAAGTTGTAATATTTGATATGATTTGGCGCTGTGTCCTCACCCAAATCTCCCTCAAATTGTAATCCCCATGTGTCCAGGGAGAGACCTGAATCCCCACATGTGGAGGGAGAGAGGTGATTGGATCACAGGGGCAGTGTCCCCCATGCTGTTCTCAGGAGAGTGAGTGAGTTCTCACGAGATGTGATGATTTTATAAGTGTTTGGAAGTTCCTTCTTTGCTCTTTTCTCTCCTGCCACCTTGTGAAGAAGGTGCTAGCTTCCCCTTCGCCTTCCACCATGATTGTAAGTTTCCTGAGGCTTCGCAAGCCGTGTGGAACCGTGAGTAAATTAAGCTTCTTTATAAATTACCCAGTCTCAGGTATTTATACAGTATGAAAACAGACTAATACAACATTTCAGCTGATATAAACATCCAGAATAAGAAATTTAAAACATAAAAACAGAAATGAACAAAAATAGAAATGCATTGAATTGGGTTCAAACTCAGCAAAGAAACTGAAGTAAAAAAAATCCATCTTAAAAATAAAAAAAAATTACAAAGAAAACAGATAGGAGAAATAAGAAAAGTGAGGAAAACAAATAAGAAATTGAAATACATGCTGTCTATCCAAAGTATGTATACAGGGATATAATATGGGGAGTTAATACTTCACTCATAATTTCACTTTCAATAAACATCTGCAGTTCTAGACTTCTTTTTTCCTTATGCTATGTTTGTCTTATAGTGTTTACTAAAATGTATTTTCATACGTATATCTCATAATATGCATTTTTATAACTTCCTTATTTAAATTATTATTTTCATCTTACAAAGTATCAGTGTGCATTGGATTTGGGGGAAATAGTAATTATCACAGATCATGTGAGAAAAAATATGATTCATATACTTAAAATGCATATATAAAACATCAGTACATATTTCATAAGGATTGTCAAAGTTACACATCAAATAATATATTGGCTGCATTGTGACAAAAGTGAGTGTTGTGGTTAAAATAAGTATATAAACACACATATTTTATTTTGTGGTTAAAATAATTATATAAATACACCCCATGAATGGGGTCCTGTACTAACTGATAATAATAAAGCTTCATTAGCTGAATAATGAGATGACCTAGTCCCTCTGCATTCAAGATTTCAAGAAAATAAAATATGTACAACATAAAAAAATATACCAACTGTAACAACCTAAAATATGCTCTAAGCCTTTATTTGTATTTTGAGAACATCTGGAAAATGATCCTAACCCTTTGTCTGCAGCAGCATTAAAAAAAAATTTAATTTTTCCTTCCATCTATTTTCAACACACTTGGTAATTCTGCCTATGCTTCTGTCTTTGTCTGCATCCCTGTCTGAAATGACAAAAATGCAGAAATATTTTCTTTCAATATTCTAATATCAGGACTGTATTCCCCCTTTGTCTTTCTACTGATGTGATAGTACATAATTGCTTTTGCACTTGGAGTTCAGCCTTCCCCCCTTTTCTTTCAACTCTGAAATTCAGTCCCTTTATTTCCTTCGTCTTTTACCTTATTAAAACAATGTTATAATACCTCAAACTCTTATCTAACACAAAGTATACTCGTTGGAAGATTT